>NC_000009.12:106250855-106402370 GCF_000001405.40 Homo sapiens | reverse complement strand
CCAAATATTTGAAGACTTGGTTTCAATAGGATACAGTAATTACATCTCTCTGTGATGGTTAGTTTTATGTGTCAACTTGGTTAGGCTGTATACAGTACCTAGTTATTCATTTAAACACTTATCTAGGTGTGGCTGTCAAGGTGTTTTATAGATGTTGTTAACATCTTCAGATAACTGACTCTAAGTAAAGAAGATTATCATCAATAATCTAGGTGGGCCTCATCAATCAGTTGAAAGGCATTAAGAGTAAAACTGAAGCTTCTCTGAAGAACTTCTACCTGTAGACTGCAACTTCAGCTCCTACCCAAGATTTGCTAGCCTGCCAGCCTGCCCTAAAAATGTGTCCACACTTAAATAGACATGTGTAGAAGGAACATATAGGATGGAGCCATTATCTTTGGCTGTAGACATTTGGGAAAAACTTCCAGGAGAGCTTAATTTGGAACCTGATGGGCTTTGAAGATTGTGGTGGTGTTTTTCAGGCAAAAGATGGTAGAAGGCAATTTACAACTAGACACTTACATATGCAAGACAAAGGGATGTGAAAAACCCTCTGTGTTGAGGGTGTTGAGGGGAAGAACACTACAGTGAGGCTGGAATCTAAGGACAGGATTAAAAGTGGCAAGAGATGGGAACAGAATGGTAGATTAAAGCTTGGTCATAAATGGCCTTGAAGGTCCTACGAAGAATTCTAATTTTTTTCCCATGGTTCTTAGCAAACCTTAGTTTTTGGAACAGGGTGTGGAATGACCAAATATATGTAAATGGATAATTTATGCAGATCTGGTCATATCATTCTGTTGCTTATGTAAATAGGTAATGGTTTGGCAGGGGCAGGTTAAGAGGTAAGGTTATCAATTAGGAGTCACACTGTTCATCACAGCATATGGGTTTGTAGTTTTGTCTGGATTTGTTTCCTCTAGATTCACTCTCAAGCCCTTTTGACCAGTTTGGTCTTCAACCAAAGCCCATCTACTCCATTTCTTAGAAATGCAGGACAATAGGTTGAGCCCAGAGCAACCAACAAGGCTAGATGAATACTATTCAGGTTAAGTTCAAATAGTAAACAGAGACAGTTCACGTCAAGTAGGTCCCAATGGTAGGTCTGTGCAAGGAAATTCCAGCATTTGGACAGGTCAAGGCAGGAGAGATAATGATGTTTGAGAGCAAGGCACACAAAAGCAACCTTTGATTCTAGAGCAAAGGCAGTTCATTTTCTGCCCTCTGTTATGCTCCCAGCTCTGCATGGTGAGAGCAAGGTTCAGGGGAATGTGTCTGCAGTTAGAATTTCTAAGTTGCACTTTGCCTTTTATTAAGAAAGGTGTCGAGTTGCCAGGCTTTCCAGGTCATTCTTACATTATTCATGTTTACACAGCCTCTTCAATGACTCCAAGGCAGTGGAAATTATGCCTGTGAAAAAAGCTAAAGATAAAAACACATAATCTTTCAAAAAATATCAACAATTATTACATAACCCAAATTAGAGTTAGTGTAAAGTGGGAAAACAATAATACTTTGGAATTGGGAAGCCACGGGAGGAAATTAAATAGCATTATGTGAAAAGTGGCCATGTTTAAATACTGTTGCCCAATGAGAGGAATGAAGAAGGTGTCAACTTTTATTTTGAGTCTCAATGAGAAAATTATTCTATACATTGAAAGCAGTGGAGCTTCTCAAAGAGAGATTCAAGAGAGACCTGTCTTATCGAGTAAATAGCAGATATTTTAAGAGTATGTTGTGAGTTAAAAACCTGCATATAAATCAGTTGATAAAGTGCCAAAAGTGAACATTGAATGAGGACTTAAAGATTGATAAAGAGATTGACATTCCATGGCTGAATGGCAAGAGAGAAGAACACCAAGGAACACATGGAAAAAAAGAAGAAATTTGGTATTATGTCAGGAAAAGAGGACCCACTGTGTACACATGAAGCCTCCTGCTACCTTCTCCTATCTCTATGCCAGCATTACAGCCTTCCAAGGCCAGTGGAGTCATTGACCCTGAAGGTTTATTCCTCTACCAGTCATCAGAATAGGCTGCCAAAATGCAAACAACAATGGGTTCAATGTCTACTGCTTTATGCCAATGTTCTCTGTAAATCTTTGTAGCCAGAACGTTCTACCTACTTCCTTCCAGTGGTTGTTACCCAAAATATAAAGCCCCATAGTTATATTTCCTTACTCCTATTTGCATGCTTTTACTGCTCAGATCTTCTCAGACTTGGTCCTAATCTTACTAGTCCTCTGTCTTTCAAATGTTCCTAGTAAAACTTCTGGAATCTTTCATTATAAACAAATCTTCCCATGGTAACCTCATCATGCATTAGTTCTTCTACCTGACTATCCCCTCCCAAATATATGGTTCATCCAGCTTCTTATGAAAACTCTTATCCCTACAATCTCTATCCTCACTCATCACTGTCCCCTACTGGCTTCATGGTCCCTCCCCTTCATTCATTATGGATTCTGGTCTCGCATAAACTTCTATGCCATAAGAGTGACTGTAATTTCCATGTTGATGAGCCATCCTGCATCTAATATCAGTAGCCCTTGTGGCCTTCACCTTCACTTCACTTCACTTCATTCCCACCTAGTCCGTCACTTCTATTATTCCCTAGACCTTGTCATCACCTTGAATGTTTCTTTTTCTGGAATATTAATCCTTTGTGATTTCTCAAATGGACCACCTTTCAGGCCCCTCAATATCTTGCTCCCATTTTAACTGTCCTTCAATCTTCTTGGTACCTTGAATCTTTCATTTATTCCCAGTCTGTCAGCTATATTCTAGCCTCTCAGCTTTTCCTGTCCAATCTGGACCCCATAATGAGCCTTTAAACCACTCTCTTGCTAGTACCTGCAGTGCTTTTGCCCCATCTTTTCACTTTATCTGTTAATATAAATGCAATTTTGGCTTACTATTTAATTTTTAAATTTTCTTTCCACTTTTACACCTGAGTGTTTACTGCTTCTTTCTACAAAAGCATGCAACCATACAAATTGGCAATTCTAGAAACTCATTCTCTCCAGATTGAACAAAGTGTGGTTCATCAGTCTGTTTACCAACTCTTGATCATCCCCCTTTTCTATTTCTCGCTTAAGACCTTCCAAACCTTGCCTACTTTTAAATATCCTACTCAACACCCACCCTCTTTACTCTCAGCAATGGCCTCTTAATTGTTGTAGAAGATGGAGGTTTTTCAATGAATCCCTGTAACCCTGTAACTACCTTATCTACATTCACACTAACTGCCCTCCTGCAGTCTCAGAGATTGAGTTGTCCTACCTTTTTTTTTTTTTTTTTGAGACAGAGTCTCGCTCTGTTGCCCAGGCTGGAGTGCAATAGCACGATCTCGGCTCACTGCAACCTCTGCCTCCCAGGTTCAAGCAATTCTCCTGCCTCAGCTTCCTGAGTAGCTGGGACTACAGGCACTCACCACCATGCCTGGATAATTTTTTGTATTTTTAGTAGAAACAGAGTTTCACCGTGTTAGCCAGAATGGTCTCAATCTCCTGACCTCATGATCTGCCCGCCTCGGCCTCCCAAAGTGCTGGGATTACAGGCGTGAGCCACCACGCCCAGCCTCCTTCCTTTTGATCACAGCCAGCCACTCATCTGAGTCCTTGAGTACGTTCTATCCCTGTCTCCACTTGAACATGACTTTTTCAATCATCTAACTTCCCTCCTGAATTACTCTTTTATTCCTTCTCCTGAGCCAATAAACATTTTCAAGTTTCTCCCATCCTAAAAGAAATGAGCATATCTCATCAATCTTACATATCCCTGTAGTGACTGTCCAATCTCACTCCTCTTCTTCTAAATTCAAGCCTCTCAAACATCTCAAGAGTAGTCTACACTCACTACTTCTGCTTCTTCACCTTCTACTCATTCTTCAAGACATTGCTGCCATGCTAATAAAACCAGCAAGAGTTAAAGTTATCAATATCTGAATTGTCAAATACCTTGGGTATTCTTAAATAATTCCAGAATACATATATATATATATATATATATATATATATATAAAATCTCCTATGCACAAAACTTCAAATCAATACCCAGTCATCTACTAGAAAACTTTTCACACCTATTCATAAAAATTCAAATCAATATCCAGCTGTCTACTGGAAAATTTCATTAGCATGTCCCACAAACACCCTAATGTCAACAGGCACAAAACTGAGCTTACTAATTCTCTACTTGAGCTGGCTCCTCATCTAGTTTTGCCCATCACAGATCCTGGCACTGCCATTCACCCAGTCACAGAAGGCTAAAAGTTAGGAGGCATCATGGCCAATCAATAAAGACATGACAACTTTAGCTCCTCAATATTTTCTAGGATATGTTCTCTCTTTTCTATCTCAAATAGCTATTCATCTGTATCTTCATTATTTTTTATCTTTAAAATTTCAACAACGCATCTATGATTTCCTTGTCTCCAACCTTACCTGACATAGCTCATACTGCAGAGTGACCTTTCTGAAAATATACATGAGACAACGCCACATCCCTGATTTAACCTTTCAGTGGCTCATTTCTTGCAGATAACATTCAGTATATCCTTTATGATATAGCCCTCTAACAGAACTTTCCCACATTTCCAACTTAGCATTTTATCCTTCAACAATATCATATTGTTTATAGCTCCCCCTACATCATATTTCTCTAACTTTGATCCTTTAATTGAACTGAAATCTCTGCTGAAATGCTCTTCTCCCACACTTGTCTTTGCCTGACTACTACACTTTCAATCTTTTACCTTCAAATTCTATATTAGTTCCCTCAAAGTACATTTTCCAGATGATTTCTTCTTTGTGTTTTCATAGTATCCTATACATAGCTCCACTAAAATGGCCATGATTGAGATTGCCAGTGAACTCTACCTGCCAAATCCAGTGATTGTCTGTTGTAATTTTCCTTAAATTCTCTGCAGCCTTTGGGAAAAATGAGCATTTCTCTCCTTTTTTCAAATACTTTCCTCTTTGCTTCTGTGACATCAGTCTTTCTTTTTTTTTTTTTATTTCTTCCTACAGCTGGCTGATGCTTTTTGGTTTCTTCTTCTCCGGTGCTTCCAGTCTGGATGTTGGAATCGTCATCCCCCTTCCATATCAAAATCTATTCCTGAGCAGTATCATCCACAATATGGGTGAATGCCAAGTATGTGTGATAACTCTTACATCTGTGTCTCCAGTGTGGACCTCTCTTCTGAGCTTCAGACCTGGATATTTAATTACCATTTCAAACTTAAAATGTTCCTAAAAGCACTCTTGATTTATAATCTCTTTTCTTCCCCAGACTTGCCTATGTAATTTAATGGCAACACCATGCACTGGTAGTTTAGTCCCAAACTTAGGAGCCATCTTTGGGTGCTCCAATTCTCTTACTCTTTACTCCAAATATATCTCAAATCTAACCATTATTCAGTATCTCCCACTGCTACAATGTCAGTCGTAATCTCCATCCTCTCTCACCTGCAAGGACCTCTTAACTGTCTCCCTGCTTCAGCCTGAGTCCCTCTTGTTCATTCTCTACCATGCATACATTTGGATTAAATCATAAATTAAGTCATATCAAACCTTTGTGTAAACCCCTCCAATAGCTTCCAAATGCACCTGAGATAAAAACGAAACTCCTTAATCATGACCTGCAAAGCCCTGGTGATCTGGGCCCCTGCCTCTCTCTTGGACCTCATTTCACTTCACTAATTCCTTTATTTGCTAAGGTCTATCCACACTGGCCTTATGTCTCTCTCTTTCCCCCTCTTTTTGATATTTTCCACTTCAACTCTGTTTGCATTTGAGTTTCTTTTTCCAGGCATGCTTTTCTTCTCATCATGGCACCCTTGTCCTAACCACACTTTCTAAAATACCTCAACCCTCTACTCTATTCATTCTCTATCCAATTATCCTCTCTTCTCTGTATAACACCACTTTCTGAAATAATCATATTCTAATCATATGTGTATGTTTTATTATTATTTTCTGTAAGTCTACATGAGCAGGGACCTTGTCTGTCTTGCCACTGCCATTCCCCATGGCCTAATACAGTGCCTGGACTATTTATTGTAGGCATATGTGCTATCCCTGCTGCCCCTTCCCACAATGGATTGTGAGCTTCTTGAGGCTACCCTAGTGCTTTCTAGCTTAATAGCTGGCACAGGGGTTGCTAAACAAATGTTTATTAAATTAATGAATGAGTAAATAAACATACCAGTGTGAATAAACTTATGCTAGCTACACTGGCAAAATATTATTGTTTGTCCCTTAGGGTAAAAACTGGAAGCTTACATCAGCACTCAATATGTTATTTATGGTGTAATATATATAAGTATGCCCAAGCCAACTATGAATTAAGCCTTATGTAGTTCTCATTCCAGGGTGAAGATTCAATCATATTCAACTAATCCCTTTGTTATCTGCTGTAGAACCCTGAATTAGAAGACCTTTATAGGCATGGGGCTAGAGAGACATCTGGTCTGGGAGATTTAAGCCTTGCCTTCGTTACTCTGGGGCCTGGAGGTAGCCAACCAGATAAACATTCCCCTCACACAAGGGCTGGGTTAGGTCCATTCCTGTCAGGGGTACATGTCATATAATTTCACTAAAGTTATTTCACAAATCCAGTGAGCCAGTCATTCATTTCCTCCAGTCATGCTTTTATTTGTTTTCCTCTGGTTGGTTTCTTTGGTGCAAAGACCAACTATGAATAACCACTGTGGTGGTTCCATACCCATCAGAGAGGTTATCCAAGGAGATATAATTTGGAGAAAAAGAAATAATTTGGCATCTAGGTCTATCTCTTGGATAAGGAAAAGCAGTGGAAACAAAAGGGAAAATTGCCAGGAAAAAATCCATTTTCCATAATCAACAAATTGACCAAGAGTTTGGCTTGGTTTTACTAGAATGCTCTAATTTCAATACAAGAATTTGCTTCCTAATTAGCGTAAAGGGAATGAAAGAGAGTCATTTTCAGAGCCCTTGGAGAGTTTTTCATCCATACCGTGCCTGCTCATGAACTTGAGTGAAGTGAGTCAATCATTTTGTGGATTTTTGCCTAGGGAAGGAGACAGGGTTGTGGTGGGGTAGAGCCTACCTGTGAGGGTGTGAGCAAGATGCTAACTAGTCCCTTCTTTGGTTCTCTTCTCTCTCCTCATGATAGGCAATTCCATTCTACCAGTTCCAGTTCCAGAAGGCTTGGAGTCATTCTTGGCTTCTCTCCTTCTTTCACACCCTTCATCCCATCTATTTGAAAGTGCTGTCAACTCTACCTTTCAAATATATCGCAAATTCAACAATTTTTACTCACTTCAACAGCCATTACTTAGGTGTAATTGACCATCCTGTGTCACCTGGATTATTGTGAAAGCTTTTTAAATAGTCTATCTGCTTTCATTTTTTTCCCTTTCTTTCCACAGGTGTTGAAGTCTATCTGTTTTCAATAGCCAGAGTGGCCTTTTTCAAATATAAGTCAGATCGCATCACTCTTCTTAGAATCCCCAGTGGCTTCCATCTCATTTAGATTAGAAGCCAACATCTTTACAATGGTCTACAGACTCCCTGTGATCAGGACCCTATAATCTCTCTGATCTCATCTCCTGCTAGTCTCTTGCTCACTCATTCCTCTCCAGCCACTCTGCCTCCTTGCTGTTGTTCAAACTTTCCAGCCATACTCCTCTCTCAGGACATTTGTACTTGCTATTTATTTCTGCTTAAAACACTCCTCCCCAGATGTCAACCTGACTGTCTTCCTCACTCCTTTATGTCTTTACTCAAAGTTTCTGCCTGCATGAAACTCTTCCTACTGCATGTAGGCAACTCCCCACTACCCCACCAATATTCCCCTTACCCCTTCCTGTGCTTTTGTTTTCCTCTGTGGCACTTCCCTTAATCTGGCACACATACTTTGCTTATTGTTTATATCTCCTGAGAGAATGTGAATTTTCACAAAATCATGGGTTCGGTCTGTTTTGTTTGATCTTGTACCCTCAATACCTAGAACGTCTGAAACACAGGAAGCACCAAATAACCACTTACTCAATAAGTCATCTGAGGATTGAATGCAATTCTAGTGTACAATGGAATATGCAGTGTACATGGCAAATGGTAGGTGTCCAACAAATATTAATTTCTAGCCTCACTGTCGTATTGATTATAGTCTGCCATAATAATTATTTGGAATGGCATAGTATTATGGATACATGAACAGATTCAAAAAGAAGTTCATCTTAACTCATAGATGGATGATGCATACTCTATTATTTATAGAGTCAAAGGGCACCCCAAACATATAAGGATGTATCCTTTAGTCAAAATGATAACACATTTGATGATTTTATATTTAACCCAGACTGCATGAGTGGTAGCATGACAATGACAAATAAACCAAATGACAATGACAAATAAATTAAAAGTTCAAATTTCTAGACTTCACTGAGAATGAGAAGAAATAACTACAGAAGCCTCCTCTCACATGGTAAAACAGAAAGTATTAACAGTTAGGTTCAAATCTTAGTCCATCTCTCCTTAGCTGTATTCCTTGGGCAGGAAATTTAGGTTTTCAGTGCCTCAGCTTCTTTAACTATAAGATGGGGATATGATATATGTCCCTTATTAGGCTATTTTAGGGATCACAGAAATAATACATACGAAAGGATATATCTCAAAGTTTAGGTGATGGAAAATAACAACAGAAATTAATTTCCACTAATCAAAAGTGTTGTCCTGATACTGTTTTCCCTTTAGCTGTGTACAACAACTAAAGAGAAGTAAGGTCACTTGGAAAAGAGCTTATCCTGTGTGTGTGCATGTTATATCCTCCCTCTATAGTAAAAACAGTAGCCGTGTGTTGAGATTTTGATTCTCTCTTTTGATATGTGTAACAACCACAGGAGGTGTATATAGCCAGCATACTCTAGAGGTAGAAACCGGGTGCCAGCATGATTAAGTTCTTTGACCAACATTGCACAGCTAGTAATTGACTGAGCTCAAGCCTCCTGACACTGTGCCCTGACCTGTCTCCCCTACACCACACAGGGCTTAGTGTAGAAGCCTGAATTATCCAGAAGCTTCACATGGCTGTTTTACTTGTAGTTTGGCACTTGGTTTCTGGATTTATTTCTTTTGAAGACTATAAGCACCTCCAACTAGCAACTCTGAATGATTCATCTCCGTATTCACAGGACCTAGCACTGGGCATAGCGCATGGTAAGTTCTTGAGGCTTGTTTGCTGATTGAGTGAATGAGCACAGGGCCTGAGTAATTCATTAGAAGACAGGGAGCCTGTAAAACATAGTGAGACCCCGTCTCCACAGAAAAATTTAAAACTGGCTGGGGGTTGTGGCATGTACTTGTAGTCCCAGCTACTCGGGAGGCTGAGGTGGGAGAATTGTTTGAACCCAGCAGGTCAAGGCTGTAGGGAGCCATAACCATGCCACTGCACTCCAGCCTGGGTGACAGAGCAAGACCCTGTCTCTTAGAAAATTAAAAAATAAAATAAATTTTAAAAAGAAAACAGGGTTACTGAGCAGCTACAATGAGCTCAGGACAAGCCTCTCACATCACACCAACACAACCTGGGTATCTGGACACCTGGCTAACTTGAAGGTCCTTCATGACATGGTCTGTGGATCACCCTAACATGGACCTCTGTCATCTCCTCCAGGCCAGCTCAGCACTTACTGCCAAGACTAGGCTGTTAACATAAAAATATTGTGTAAATTATCACCTCTCTGGTAAGCCAACACACTACTTGAATGCAGAAAAAAAAAATGTATTTTAGCTCAGGTTCTAGACACATGATTTATATATTACACCAGTTATTATGGACAACAATAACCATAAAAGCTAGCCATCTATATAACAAATTATAGTTTTCAAAATATTTTCACATCCATCCCTTCTTTTCAATCTCACAACAGCCATTCGAGGCAGCTCTGATTCACCTCCTCTCACATTTGGGTGTGTCACAGCTCAGAGAGGTTAAGGGTCCTGTCCAAGAACACACAGATAAAAACAGTAACTTTCCTTAATGGGTACCTGCTCCGGGCCATATGCTCTGCTGAGTACATCATATGTGTTACCTCTTTTAATCCTCAAAACAGCCTTTGACGAGGTAACATTGTGTTTCATATAATTTGCATGAGGAAGGTGAGGCTGAAATTTCCCAAAGTTGCACAATTACTAGGAGATGAAGTCGTGATTAACACTCAGGCCAGAGCTGCTCTCCTGCCATCCTACTAGATTGCCCAGTGTGGAGCAGTAAGTGGCAGAAGAAAGAGCTCAACTGTGATGTTCCGACTTTACAAGCAGTGGAAGCCAAGAAACCTGTGAATTTATCTTTAGTACTACACTCCTAGATTTTCTCCTCTTAGTTGAAACTTCCATTTGAAAATTTCTTGAGCTTTCAGCAAATCTGAATGGAATTTCTCCTAGTGCTTTTTCTTAAAATAAATGCCCTAATTTGACCTTCCTCTAACCCATCTTATGTCATAATGACAATCTCAACTTCCTAAACACAGTTTTCATTCTGTGGCCATGATTCAAGACAGTAAATCGTCCCTTATTCCCTACTATATGAAATCTAAATTCCTAACCTGGGCTTTGCCTGGCCATCTCAATGTTATTATCTACTTTTTCCCAACACACACCTTCTTTATCAACAAGCTCCTCCTTCTTCCACAAAGTCTTCTCTCACTGCACCTGACCCACCCACCTCTTTCTGCTTCAAACAAGTGGTTTTCAAGGATCAATGGCATTAAAAGAAGAATGTTTTGGCAACCCCCAATTTTTTTTTTATTTTTCCAAGTATGGGCCTTGAAGAAACAACTACTTTATAGCTTCATGATCATTCCACAAAATAAGGACAAAATTAAAGAAAAAAGCTAAAGAAAAAATAATAGGAGCAAAATAAAGAACAATCTGTCACAAGGAAAGATAATTGGATATGTTTGTATTTAACAGATATGGAGATATATATATATATCAGAGAGAAATAAAATATAGTATAATAATCAAATTATATATATTCTACAACACACATATGTATACTGACATTAAAACATTGCCCTGATTTCCTCTCCATTTTGAGATGGTTTGATGAATATTTCATCACTGATGAGCATCTGCCAGAACATAAGCATTTGGTCTCCAAGTCCACTTATATTCAGGATCAAGATCACACTGAATATATCTTCTATTATTTCTTAGGTTTTATTCCTCCATTTTTAGCTAAACAAGCTCCTTGAGCACAGAGACCACATCTTGTGCTTTCTCTACATTCCCTACAAGACTTAACTAGAGCTGAACCGCTCACAGGAGAGACCACAATGTATGTGGGTTCATATATAATCAAGACAACCTGAAATATTGCAGGCAATGCATTTTGGGGAACAATTACCCCTTGAGTGAAATAACAACAATGCATTTCAGCGTATTTTAGATCTCTGGAATACTGCCCTCAGGCCTGACCTTTTCAGTGACCCCCAACTTCACAGAGCCCATTCACCTGAAGCCTCCTTCATTTATCTTCCCAGTAAGTCATTCACTCACTGTGCCCACCATTCTCTCAGGGAGAGCAGGAGAGATTGTCCTAAAAGAGACACATCAAAGCAAGATACTACTTTAACTTCAATAATCAGTTTGTGTTCTTTAACAGAACAAGAAGGTAGATTTTCCAGCAAGTAATGAGTCTGTGTCTGTGCATAGTGAAAATGATATTTACAGAAAGAATGAAACACTGCATAGGATTTCTGGCGGTGTGTGGGAATCCACAAAATATTCTCACCCAATTAAACATTTAATGAGGCCATCTTGAAAAAGCTGTTGTCTCTGGTTATAGTTAGTGTTTTCCCCTCCTCAAAGCCTTTATTTAGGTGTCATAATGCCTGGACATATCTTGACCACTCAGCATTCCCCTCTTCTCCTTTGCTCTCTGATACTACATGTTTGGTTAATGGGCCGTGTCTCACAGCTCTCTCCCTCACAACTCTTGCCCCCTCTCTCATACTGACCACCCAATAGCTCCAGTCTTGGTCCATTATTTATCTTCTATTTAAACTCTAATATGCCTACCTTCATCGAGACCTAATGCAAACCCAGCTTCAGCTTCTAAGCTGATGCAAAGTGTTGTGTATATACAGTCATGTATCACTTGACGACAGAAATTTTTTGAGATATCCATCATTAGTCAATTTCATAATTGTGTGACCATAGTGTACTTACATAAACCTAGATGATATATATGTTTGTTTACATATAAACCATGTAGGTTTATAGAAAAAACAAATGTCTCCACACCATTACTGAATATTGATCATTTCCCCTACTTGGTTTGCAATGCCAATATCAAGTGCTTTATGTCAGGTTCCTACATATGCTCCATTATAAACTTATGGGACCACGATCATAAATATATATGTGGTCCATTGTTGACGTGATTATGCGGTGCATGATTGTGTGTGTGTGTGTGTGTGTGTGTGTATTGCAAGCTAAGCACTTCACAATGATCATCTGATTTAACCTTCACAACGTCCCAGTGAGATAGGTTTTGTCATCCTCATGTTACAGATAAGTACACTGAGCCCCAGAGAAGTAAATTAATTTGCCTAATGCAACACAGGTATGATGAGATAGAGCCAAATCCTGATCTGTCTGACTCCAAATGTTCTGCACTTTTTCTCTAGCCACCATATTGTACCAGATGGCTAGTTGTTTTTAAATACATGGAAGATTGCTGTCTGAAAAAGGAACAAGCCAATAACTCTCCATCCCTTAGCTGATCACCAGCATAAAGCCAGGAGAGATTAGTGGAGCTGCCAGTGAAAAATGCTCCACAAGTATTACTTGTCTTTAAAACTGGCCCACACAGGAACTGGTTCAGACTGATTAGGAGACTAAATTACAGATGGCAATGAAACAGTTCAGTTATGGTTTGAGTTAAGCCAGATCTAGGTGGGTTTTTATTCTACCAACCTCATAGGGGAGTGATTGTGCAAATTAAGAGAAAAATCATGGATAAAAGTACACAGCCCAGTGCCTGGCCCATATCTTGGGCCTAATGCATATTTGTTTAATCCCTTTGACATTCAGATACAGTTTCTTACACAGAACTTCATACATTTGGCCTGTTACATATTTCAGACATCATATTGATATCTTGTTGATCTCCATAAAATAATAGCAATTTGATGGTCTGGAACGATAGAAAGTCTAAAAAACTAGGACAAACTTGCATCTACAATAGAGTCATGAGATGGTTCAGGAAATTATGTGAGTCTCCTGCCCTCATCCACGTTGGGACCACATCATCCAGTAAGCTGAAAGAAAAACGCCTGCAGTCTTTGGTGGAAATGGTCTGTTACAATTGCCCTCCATAAAGTATGTGCTTCCACCACAGACTGACTCGGTGGGCAGCCGCTGAACTATGAAGAAACAGGTCTACCTGGGATTTATAGTCTGGCGTTCTAGCATCTTTCAATCAGAGAGCAAACCAACTCACATTTTCCTCCCACATAAATTGCCTTTGTTTTCTTTCTATTGGGAAGCCTGAACCTGTCAGATAATGAGATTTGGAATGTCTGATTGTTTCCCATGAACCTCATGAAGGAAAGCATCATTCCCACAGACAAGTTCCCTGTGCGAGGAATTAATCTGGGCACTCGGAAACTTGGTTGGTGGAAATGGCCTCAATGTAAGAGTTTTAATAGACAGCCACAGTGCCTTATTTCAATAGTGCTTCCTCCTGTTGCTTCTGTGAAAGGGTGACATCCATGACCAGGTGGCATGACATCTGCTGATTCTGCCAGATCACTGGAAGAATTGCATCCTTTAAATGAGAAGCAACATGATCCAGGAAGAAGAATTACAGGAATATAGATGAGAGAAAAGTTGCTGAGAGATGAGAAGTGATTAGGAAAGCATAATGGCAAAGTTTTTAGAATGTGGAGCTTGAGGGAAAGTTACAACTCAATTCTCCAAAAGTTAAGTGACCTTAGATAAATTACTTGATCTCTCTGGGCCTTGGTTTTGGAATTCCCCTTCTGTAAAAATGAATAGGATAATACCTACAGAAAAACACTTATGTGGGCTATTATACATATATTTTTAAAATCGAATAAAAATTCAGAAATTCAAACATATCAACCTATTTGACCTAAGTAAACTGCTATTTCCAAACACAAAGCCAAGAGTTGTTTCATCTCAGACACTTCTGGTTAAAAATTGACTGGAAGGGAGCAGGTAGCATAATCTAACAAAATATAGGACAGGTTAGGAGACAATACTCAGAGTTTCTCCTTTTAGTTGGTTTGTTTCTATTGTGATTGGGGCGAGGGAATGTATATAATGTATTTTTATACTATAAGAGAGCAAATAAGAGGGTGGCTTATTTTTCCACAATTTATACAGTTTATTTCCTGTGGTATCTTGCTTTACGCTCTCTCCCGTGTTGACAGTAACAAACAACATGATGTTTTTTCCATCCCTCTGAAATAACAGGATACGATAATGGCATGTTAAGGACAGACCTCATGATGGGAGGGTGTTTACATGCTTATATTCTAAGAGTGCTAATTACCATATAAGCATAAAATTATAATCAAATAACATTTAGTATATTTCTAGGGAACATAGAGAAATGCTTCCATTAACAAGAAATAGTAGATGAAAGCAATTAATGCATCAATGCAGAAGTTCTGCTTACATTTTATTACCTTAGTGTTAAACAAAATATAATGTAAATAGTTCCCCTGACTGTCCTCATCCTCACCAAGAACAGAGATTTTCCAGGAGATGGGATGTGGGACAATTTTCTCATGAACAGTGGGGACAGTTTTAAATGATAATGACCCCTGCGACCGCCTATGAGGCTATGCAGTTTTCAAGAGTTTTGCTCATATCATCTTATTTGATCTTCACCACGAATTTGTAAGAAAGGCAATTCAATTTAAAGAGATGAAAACTGAGTCACAGGGAAGTTGACATTTGCCCACTTTCACCCAGCCAGCAAGTGTCAGTTCCAGGACTGGTGTTCTGGTTCCATCCCACTGCCTCCCCAACACCCAGAAGCCCGGGAAACACAATACCCGTTGGTTGTCTTTTATAAGATTTGGGGACTACTTTGAAGGAAAATTATGTAGCCAACATAAATGATGGGTTTCCTGGATATCATGTTTAGAAAAGAGGAGATACATTATAGAAACATAAACTGCTTCCTTTAAAAATATGTATAAACTCTAAGGACCTGTAGGGATTTATAAATCTATGCTCTCATCCAGTTTCCCAACACTGCTGGCATGAATCTTATGATAAAGTTGTTACTCTCTTAGTTTTTTTTTTTTCAGTTCTAGACGGAGAAAATTTTCCAAATTTCAGAAGAGAGAATATCATTAATATAGACTCATGCATCGCATGGGTTTGCAATGAATTTGAACAAAATCAATTTAAATAATGTTTACAGTGTTGTTCGAGTGTCTAGAATTTTAATGTTCTGCTTGGTGCTATCATTTTAAGTTGGAAGAAAAAAGGAAAAGCAAAAGACTACAGAAAATCATAGGATAACAAGCCTTAAATGTAATAATGAAATTCAATCCCAGTGTGTTTCACTATTAGATAAGCGAGATAATACATTTGAAATAATGGGTAAAATTATTGCAAGTTGAGTCTATTGGGGATAAAATTATGTGACTCTCAACACATGCTAATAGGGCTGGAAGATCCACCTCGTGGCCATGTCCTGACTGAGGTACTGAGGGTGACAGTCACTGCCTAGGGACAGGACCAAGACACACAACACACATTTATAGACATCTAAATTAAACATTGAATTCTACAACCACAATGGTACTTACAGATCAGGAAACTCAGTGTCCACTTTTTCAAGAAGAAAAGTATAGGTCCTAAAGTGGATAAATGCCAAGCATAATGTCACTTGGCAACTAAGTGTCAGGGATAGAACTAGAACTTGAACATCCAGATTCTCAGTGAATACCTTGTCACACTAGACCATGTATTGTATTTTACATGTATACTTACCTCCACTCTCAAAGTCTTATATAGTGAGTATTACCTTCCATGATCAGAAAAAAAATTTAATGAAGGAAAAATAGGAGGCACAGAGAAGGTGGTCATGCTAGGCTGTAGGATGTTCATGAAGGAGATGAGCTTGGAAGGAGAAAACATCAGTGGGAGATATGGTACTGGAGACGGCATTTGAGGTGAAGGTGGGTGAGGACAGGTGATGGGAACATAGGAAGCAGCGGCAATGGGACCAGAGTACGTGGAACATATTGTGGAGCTCTGTAGAAGGGTGTAGACTGGATGTCTTTGAGGGAAGACTTATTTCCCTTTGTGCCTCACTACTTTGTGGGGTTTAATATTTTGGAATAAAAGAAGAAGGACAGAGAGGAGAGAGGGAAGAAAAGAAGAAGAAAAGGAGTGGGGAAGTGAGGAAGAAAGAAAACAGAGGACAGGGCAGGCAGGGTAGTTCACACCTGTAATCTCAGCACTTTGGGAGGCTGAGGCAGGAGTATCACTGGAGCCTAGGAGTTCAAGACCAGCCTGGGCAAACAAGATCCCATCTCTAGTGTATATATATAGACATAGGAAGTTGAAATCACATTGTGGAAATTTTGCACTGTCAATTCTTAGAATGTTGCACTGTCAAATTAAATAGCTGTTTAATTTATGAAATGGTATAAAGTCATTGAAGGTTTCGTTTAGGGAAGCTACTGAATTTCAGTTATATTTCAGAAGGAGCATTATATCAACATGAAAAAGATTAATTGGGAGGTGAAAAGACTGAACATATGGAGGTTAGAGATTTATTATCTTCTTAATTTTAATATTTTGGTTTAAATTTCCAAAACTGAATTAGTGAACTATTTTGAATGTGGTAGGTGCTCAAGAGATATCTAGAATGGCTTTTTTTCTTAATGTTTTATAAGCCCTGAGTTTGCAAATTGTATTAAAATTAGTTTAATTGATTATACTTAAATTTGAATCAAAATTATAGACTTAAAAAGCTATGGTTTATTTTAACAAATATAGTCAACAAAATTAAAATTAAAAGATTAACTTCTAAATGTGATTTAAAACTCATAATCTCCCTGCACAGAATTCTAAAAAATATACTTTTCCCATCAAACTAATGAACACAAAGAACTAAGATCAGAGAAGTTCTCACTGTAGCCAGTGACTGGCAATTCTGCTCTCCACCTTTCAGGACACCTCATCAGTCTTCACCAAATGAGGTCTTCAGAGACAAAATCTATCATAAATCCAACCCTGCAAATGACCAATGGAGTGTGGAATTGCATAATTCCTAGTCTCTGCCTCAATTAAAAAGAGGGGGCACAATGTGCACTATGTAGAGATGAAACCCCAGGCTCTTGGAGGGTAGGCTGTAAAGCTCTGAAATTAAGGAGAAGAATAAAGGATGGCCTGAATTGCGGATGGTAAATAGGTAGAGAAAAATCGCCTGAAATAATTAAGTAACAGAAAAGGAATGAGCAGACAAAAGCAAACCAGTAAGAGACAGATCTATAGAAATTACCAAATCAACCATGTGGCCTTTAGAATGAAGGGATCATTCATGTGTTGCAAAAGATTAAGTGAATCTGCAAGAGCCATAAAACCTGGCTTTGCTGGGAAGAGAATTCAAAGCTGTACAGAAATTCACCTAACACACCAACAAATATCAACAGGACACACCAACAGGAGTTCAAAGATGATCTTTGCCTGGAGTTGGGGCATTTAGGAGCAATGGCTCAGGATCCTATAGGAGCAAGATACATAATAGCAATTCTATAAAAATTAAAAGGTAAGCAGGTAGTGAAGAACTCACTGAGGGGAAAAATACACCTGACCTAACAACAAGTTATGGAAGAGTAAATTGTCCAGTGTGACTAATGTTGATTTCATACCACCTTATTGAACTATTGAATACTTGGACTCTTCAAAACTATCAGAGAAGTTCTGCAGGTGGTATTTTGCACCCTAAAGGAATAATCTGTTACAGGGTATTTGCCACCTTTTTTTTCCCATTTGATTAGTTTTTTCCTTCCTCTACTCATATTAGAATTGTATTGTGAAATTATATTCCATTCATCATTGTTGCACAGAATCAAGGGCACTGCTCACCTCAGAACTCCACATATTCTTTTTTTTGTGCCTGGGCTGGACTCCCAGGAATTCCAGAGGGAGACTAGTAACATACAGGTTTTACGTCAACCACTGGGAAGTACAATAGAAATTAGATGGAGGAAGTAAAACATACAAAGACACATACACACATACTATATACCATATACGTGCATGTACACAGGCATACATGTAAACACATATGCACATATACGAACAGAGAAATAGTGTCAAAATTCACTTATGAAACTAAAGGATTTTGATTCTTCTTCTTTTGAAGATTCTGGAAGCATCTCTTGAGAAAATTCACATTAAAAACTTATCTGCCAAGGCAAGGACTAATTACACTAGAACATGATGAATATAAGCAGAAAGGGTGGAGTTCAGATACAAGAAAGAGAAGGTACCTTACATTCCTAATATCAAGAGTAGGAAAGTAGTAACTTAGCAAAAAAAAAAAGAAAAAAGAAAACAAAAACAACAAATAACATAATGGCTGCAATAAGAGAGAGGCCACCCATGATGGCACATCTGGAGAGGAGAAATCAGAAGATGTGAATGAAGAGTCCTGTCAAGAAGATGCTAAATGATCAATGAGGTTGTCTTTGAAAAGGGTTTAAAGTTAGAGGATGAAGAAAACCCAGGAATCTCCACAACAGTTTCTTCTGTGGTCAAAAGCATTGATATGTTTAGTGCATGTAAGACTTTTTCCCAGGTTTCTCTCAGAGCTGTCCCCTCAGTAGTAAACACAGGGTACAAACCTATCATGACGATGACCATTTCCTGGAGCAGATGGGGCATGGTGAAGGGAGCAGAGGGTAAATATTCCATTTTTCAGGTTTCTCCCCAGTCATCTCAGTTTGTTGTCCTTCTCAATTCAGTCATCAAGCAAAATGAGCAGAGACATGTCACATGCAGGAAATGCACAGAGGTTAAATAGCCCACTGCCATCTGTCCCCTATTAAGAGCAATCGTTGGGGTGGAGCAACTCTGAAACATTTTCTTTGGCTGGGCAGTGAATTTACTCATTTGACATGGCTAATAGCTGCTCTCCTGCTTGGTTATTGTCCTCGGTTCAAGGTCCTTCCATACGGACATTCTTACAGGAAGGAATCTCCCATCCCAGAAGAGATAAACCAGGATAAAAATCAGGAATCCTGCTAAAAAAAGGGTTAAAGGTATTTTTCCAAAGACAGATTGGACTGATGGACAAAAAAGCCACTCAATCTTGCACACTGCCAGACATTTAATGCTAGGCTGATGGCCTATGTCACAAAAAAGAAATGAGGAAAGTTGAAGTTTCAGCAACAAGAGCCAACAAACACCAGCTGATTGCCAGTCTCTCATTCTGAAATGCCCTTCCTGCAAATATTCATTCCTTATGGCCCAATCATACCCATCCTTTAGAGTTTAGCCCAAGTGCTACCTCCTGCAGGAAGCCTTCCTAGCTTTATGCAGCTGAATGATAGTTCTCTGTCCTCTCAATTCCTGTGATATATGCTTCTGCAATCTGTGCAGCATCTTCATAAAAACCTGTAGTGTTTAAGAGCTCAGGTCTGAAGCCAAACTTCTTTGGGTTCGTAATCTGATCTCTGTGTTACAATTTCCTTATTTGTAAAATGGGATAAGATTAGAACCTACCTCACTGGGCTGTTGTGAGGACAATGTGAAGTAACCATTGTAAAGTGTGTAGGGCATGGTAATAACTATTAATACATAGGTGCTTACAATTACTATTACTAGCTCAATAAGCTGTACATCTCAGTCTCAGTCACTTCTAATGGAAGTAGCTCCTTGAGATCAGGATCTGTGCTTGATTAGTCTTTCTTTTCTTTCTCTCTTTTTTTTTTTTTGGAGATGGAGTCTCTCTCTGCCACCCAGGCTGGAGTGCAGTGGTGTGATCTCGGCTCACTACAACCTCTGCCTCCCGAGTTCAAGTGATTCTCCTGCCTCAGCCTCCTGAGTAGCTGGGATTATAGGCACATGCCACCTTGCCTGGCTAATTTTTGTATTTTCAGTAGAGATGGGGTTTCACCATGTTGGTCAAGCTGGTCTCGAACTCCCCACCTCATGATCTGCTTGCCTCGGCCTCCCAAAGTGCTGGGATTACAGGCGTGAGCGACTGCGCCTGGCCTTTTTTCTTTTTTGAAACAGGGTCTTGCTCTGTTACCCAAGCTGGAGTGCAGTGGCGCCATCACAACTCACTATGGCCTCAAACTCTTGGGCTCAAGAGATCCGAGTAGCTAGGACTACAGATGCGCGTCACCACACCTGGCTAGGCTAATATTTTAACTTTTTGTAAAGATGGCGTTCTCCCTGTGTTGCAGAGGCTGGTCTTGAACTCCTGGGCTCAAGCTATCTTCCTGTCTCTGTCTCCCAAAGTACTGGGATTATACACCCAGCCTGATTTGTCTCCAGAAAGTACAGCACAATTCTTAGGACATAATGACAAAAATAAATAACGAATATAGCATTCATTTATTTTGAAATGTTTGCATTTAAGGGTGGAGGTCTTGGGCAACAGGCAGCAAAGAGGGAAGACAGGCAAGACCAGTCAGCGGAGACCTCAGAGGACTGACCATTCTCTAGGCTGGCTTCTGCCAAAGCACACAAATGTATCAAGAATGGAGTCAAATGGATTGGCCAAATTCAGAAAAATATCATCATTATGGGAGCTTAATCCATTAGAAAGAAAGTGGCAGTGATAAGCCCCTGTAGAAAGAGACTCAATGTAAGATAGGAGTACATTATTTTGAACGCATTTGTTTAAGGTCAACATAATAGTATGAGAATGATTTGCAGGGACCGTGGAGCCAATGATACTCAAAGCAATGTACTAAGTAGACTGAGTTTTATGGTTAGAAAGATATGAAAGAAAATCCTGTCTGTACATGTGGCAAGTTATATGGTATTAGGCTAGTTATTTAAACTTATTTGTAAATGCTAATAATCATACCAAACATTCAGGATTGCTGGAAGGAGTAATAATAAGTAGCCACTCAAATGTTGGGCCCATTGCAGACACTCAAAATTGACATTTATTCATGTTACTGTTATTATACTTGGCAGCCTAGAAAGTAGCCTGTGAGCATAAGATTCAATTCCAAGTCCTAGGGATGGTGGGCTTGGCACAACCTGGGATGATGGTGGACTGGCTGGGGATGGACTCAGGAACTGCTGCTGGCAAGGATGGAGAAGGCAGAGGCAGAGGCTTTAGCTCAGCCCTCCATCTTAACATTTTTGCATGCAAATTGACTATATCAATATTCTTTGATCCATTTCCCAAGAACAGCCCTACCTTCATTTATTGGAATCACCCAACTAGAAAGCATAACCTGTAGTGCTTCTTTTGAAGGTGGGTTAAGCTGGGAGCTGGGACAAGGACAAAAAAAGGAAAGCTAGTTAAAGAGTAGAGATATTTGGGGCAATGAGAGACTACTTGAGTTGAGTTGTGAATATAATTCCACAACAGCTTGCTGAAAAATGAGAAAATCACTCAATACACATTGCCAAACAGCGGCTTTGACTGATTTTTTAAAAGCCTGAACCAACCAAGTTGTACGGTTGTCAGAATTGTGTAGCTGAAGCCACAGACCGTGTTGCTTTAAGAAATAATGGATGGCTTCAAGCAAACACTTCAGGCAAGCAAGTCTAACAGTCTAAAGAACGGCACTGAGAATTCTAAATGGAAAGGTGGCAGAAATAAAAATAAGCAGATTTGCTGAAGCTACTCTTACCTATATTTTACTGAAGGAACCCCACGTTCTCTAAGATTTATGTAAAATTAAATTCATAGTCACATCCAAAGAGGGACCCTAAAAAGCAAAAAAGAATTACAAGTATTTTTTCCAGCAGAGCTGTGGCTATTTAGAAGTACTCAAGTACTCAGGGCAAGTAGTTGAAAGATATATATATATATACATATACATATATATATATATATATATATATATATATTTTCTTTTTGAGACGGAGTCTTGCTCTGTCACCCAAGCTGGAGTGCAGTGGTGCTATCTCGGCTCACTGCAACCTCTGCCTCCCAGGTTCAAGCAATTCTCCTGTCTCTGCCTCATGAGTAGCTGGAATTACAGGCACGCACCACCACGAACGGCTAATTTTTGTATTTTTAGTAGAGACAGGTTTTCACAATGTTGGCCGGGCTGGTCTCGAACTCCTGACCTCAGGTGATCCACCCGCTTTGGCCTCCCAAAGTGTTGGGATTACAGGCGTGAGCCACTGCACCCAGACAAGATATTATTCTTTTATTTTGGATTTTAGTAGTGGACAGACTTCTGGGCATTTTTTTCCCTCCACCTTTTCTTCCAAAAACATGGGGCCATGACAGAAATTAGCTGAAGACAAAAATGACAGCTCATTGCTGACTCTTGTTTTTTTAAAATTTCTCTAAATGTCTTCACCTGCAAATTAAAACACATTCTCATTTGAACTGGTTGCCAAGAACGGACACCAAAAAGGGAGACCTAGGAAGGAGGACAAGCCTTAAAGGGCAGGATGGACAACAGAAAACCACTGACTAAACTAGAGCTGTCTCTCCATTCAACTGCAAAGCCCTGAGGCCTCCTCACACCATAACTTCACATGATTGCATATCCCAGGGACAATTTAAGAATATATAAAATTTATTTTTATCAAAGCAATTCATGTTCACATTTTAGAAATCAAATACTACTAAAAGGTACGTAATAAAACATTGCATTCCCCTGGCCCACCCTACAGTCTGGCCCCAGGCAACAACTTTAAACACTAGTTTCTTCTTGTATCTTATCTCTAATAATATACCCACAGTGTTCTTTTTCTTGTTTTCATTTTTAAATATATTATTTGTAAATATCCTCAGATTTTAGTGGATGGTTTAATTCTCTTATATAACTTCACCTCTCCTTCCATCCGCCCAATATAGATATTGTTTCAGTTGCCTATGTTGGGGTCACAAATCACCCCAGATGGAGTGGCTCACAAAATAAAATAGTGGTTTGTCATGGTTCTCTGGATTTGCTGGGGGGTTCTTCTGCTGGTCTTACCTAGCTTCAATTATGTGACTGCATTAAGATAGTAGACGAGCTGGGAACTGGACTCAGCTGGGGTTTTGCTCAGAGGTCCTTAGTTCTCTTTCACAATTCTACCTTGGGCTTCCTCAGGGCATGGCAGTCTTGAGGCAGCACTCCAAGAGTACACATTCTAAAAACTTAAAAATGGAAGCTGTAAGATCTCTTAAAGTCAGGCTTCAAAGGGTTCCAGCATCACTTCTACCACATTATATTGGTCAAAGCAGGTGACAGGGTAAGCCTGGACTCCAGAGCAAGGAAAGTTTATCTCTCGATGAAGGCAGCAAGCAGTACAGGCTCATTGCAAAAGGCATGCAGAATGGGAGAAGTTGTAGTCATCTTTATAAATAATTTATCATGGCTCTATCTAAGTGTGTTTCATCAATGTCAGTGCTTAAATTATTATTTAAATATTACACATGGCACAGCTAAGTTTAACAGTTATACTTCTAATTTTCTACAATTTATTTTTTCTAGGGCTAAGGATTACCTTGCTTTTTGTTTCTTTTTGCCATGAATAGCCTTCTCTGTACCTGTGCTTAACTTTTTTTTTTTAAATCAGATCAGTCATATGTTCACTTTTCAAATGCCCAAACATAGCAGATATCAGACTGCCAGTAAAGCTTCTTCCCCAGAGTTCTCTATCCTTCACCTTCCTACTTCAACCTGAATTGGCTACTCTCTATGTCTTCCCAATAAAGACTAGAAGAGAAATAAGCATTTTGGGTCTTTTTAAAGCTTATTTAATCTCCAAAATAAAAATTTCAGAGGACATAATTTACACAGGAATAAAATTGTGACATTACAAGCATAAATTTTCATGATGCTGAAGAGTCGAGAGGAGGTTTAGTGAAGACGCTGTAACTCTAATGAGTTCAGAGTTTTAGAAGACATGTATAAAAAGGTGAAACAATGAATGTGGCCAACTGGTAAGAAAATAACTAGATTTACATGATTCTTGCAGTAAGTGTTAAGGACAAGTGACAGGGCTTACTTCATTTTGAAAGATGCAAGAAGGATGTATTGGAAGTAGTGCTGTAATTTTTAGTAGAGATCAAAGAGAAAACGGAACCTTACAATCCATATTGTGTTTCTGTGTTGCTTAAAGAGACAGAATATTTCAACTCTGAAAATGGAAGACAAAATATGGATTTGAGGAGGAAAGAGACAACTCTCTTAGCCTTGGCTTCCTGATTTGTGTATTTCAGGTATGAATGCCTAGTTCATATATTTTGGAGGAAATGAATAAGATAATGTAGATCAGGTGACTAGTCAGTGTTTACACATTGAAAATTTTAATGAATACTTATTCTTATTATTAAGAACTTACCAAATATATTATTAAAATTCTGCCAGAAATCTTCAAAATATGCTACAAATATATGCAATGTGCTTTGTCTATCCCAAGTAGATTTCTGGAACAAATGATAAAATTGAAAATTGTGATTCCTTCTCTAAGAGAAGGAAGGAAAGATTTGAGAAAAATGATATGTTAATAAAATATAATATACACCTTGTTAAGCTTTTTATATAAAATAAGATTATCAGAATGGTATATTTTGGAAAAACTACAGATACAGTGTATCAGTCCACATCAAAACATTTTATAATGGCTCCCTTTAATAATTGTAGTTAAAATATAGAAATAAGAATATCCTGGCCGGGTGTGGTGGCTCACACCTGTAATCCCAGCACTTTGGGAGGCTGAGGCAGGTGGATCACAAGGTCAGGAGATCGAGACCACTGTGGCCAACATGGTGAAATCCGTCTCCACTGAAAATACAAAAAAATTAGCTGGGTGTGGTGGCACATGCCTGTAGTCCCAGTTACTCGGGCAGCTGAGGTAGGAGAATTGCTTAAACCCAGGAGGCAGAGGTTGCAGTGAGCTGAGATCGTGCCACTGCACTTCAGCCTGGTGACAGAGCTAGACTCCACCTCAAAAAAATAAAAGAAAAAAAAAGAGAATATCCTAGCAATATAATCCACAGGATATGTAGCTGAAAGAACCAATATTACTGTATGTTAATGAAGGCATGACACAAGGCTCTGTCTTGGCCCTAAATTGCTCTTTCATTCATTAATTTACAAGTCCTTTATTGAACACCAACTATGTGCCAGGTGTTGTACTAGGAACTCGCGTATAGCAAGGAGCAAAAAGAAAAAAAATGTTAATTTTTTTAAAACTGAGAACTTAGCTTAAAGGCATAGAATGAATGTTGGAGCCACATCCTCTTTGACACAAAATTGGGCCAGGGAGTAAATGCATTGAAAGGAATGACTCAGATTTAAAATGATGTCAACAGATTGTAGCAGTAGATAAACTCTATTTCACTGTGCTCCTCTTGAGAACTTATGTAATATCTTTGAGCTTCAGTTTCTTTGTGTATAAAATGGAGGTAATAACATCTGCTGATTGGCTTGTTTTGAGCTTTAAAGATAATGCATGTAAAGAACATAGCACAGTGCCTGAAATATGCCAGATGCTTAAAAGATAGTGGCTTTCATTAATATAGGAATTATTTTTCTACAAAGGATCATTTGTTCATGCATGCAAGGATTCTCAGAATGTACCAGAAGCCCAAGAGACGTAAGTCAATTGATTCAAGTTCAAATAATGAGTCATTAACAGGATCAGCACTTACACCCATCTTTCCTTATTTCTGATTTTAAAATTTATATTCTATCCAGAAGTGAACAATGTTTGATATTCCAAACTCCAGTCATATAGAATGTAATTATTTAAATAGTTTTAAGATACAATAACTTGACAGTGTGGGAAGATATTTTGAAGCTCAAAGGAAAATTTCTTCATATCCACATCGGAATTTCTGTGTTTCTGTTGTATTAGGCTAGTTAATATTATTGCAAATCAACATTCTTTTAAAAATTTGATCATATTCTTTTCATCACAAAATTGTCCTACCCTGTCAACAAAGATCTTCTATAACTGAATGAAAGTTAGACGAAGAAGATAAGTCAGTATGGCAGAAGCAGCTTTTCCCCAGCAGTCAAAGGATGAATGGGCTGGATGAAGTCAGGTAAGACTGAGCATGTACTATTTGATAAGGAATAGACCAAGTATCTCACATGATCCTCATGATAGCCTAATGAAGGAAGTATTAGTATCTACCATCTTCATGTACTATTTGATAAGGAATAGACCAAGTATCTCACATGATTCTCGTGACAGCCTAATGAAGGAAGTATTTAGTATCTACCATCTTCATTTCTTGAGTGAGGAAATAGGTTCAAAAAGCCTGAGTGACTTTTCAAGTGACACAATTAGTAAATGCTACAAACGAGACTCAAATCCAAGTCTTGTGATTTCATTTCCAATGTTCTTTCTCCTCCACCACACTGCCTCTGGCACATTGCTCTTTCTGTGATGAGCCATAGGGTCCTTCACATTATCTCAAAATAATCTGCTCACTAAGTATGTCATGCTTGGCTAAGGCCTATTTTCCAGAGGATGGTCTCTTCTGTTGGGCCTTTTCTTTAAGTCAAGATAGCAACAGTAAAAATTTAGGAAATAGGTTTTTAAGCTATTAAAATCTTACCATCTTAGTACTATTTTGATTGTGTTTATGGGAGAATAAATAGTTATGCTCCCATTCTACATATAATTTTGTATCATTCATCTATTTGTTCATTAAATGCATATTTATTGAGTGTCTCCTATGTGTCAGGCACCATTCTAGAAGCAGGAACTACAGCAGAAAACAATAACAAAGTCCCTGATCTTGTTGAAATCACATATGATGGAGGAAACAGACAATAAACAATACAATTAGTAAAATATACTGTATGTTAGATGATAAGTGCTAAAGAGAAAAAAGTCAGGTAGAGAGGGGAGAAGTTTAGGGGAGATAGGAATGCAACTAAAATGTTAGATAGTTTCCAAGAAACGCTGTTGAAAAGTCAGTAACTTAGTAAAGACCTGAAGGAATTGAGAGAGTGAGCCTTACGGCTATCTGTGTTGTGATAGAGAGAATTCTGAGATGATCTCATAACTTCACCCCTTGGTTTGATTCCCATGATTGTGTTAAGTCACATGGCAAAAGGGATTTTGTAGATGTAATTATGGTAACTAATCAGTTGACCTTAAGATAGGGAGATTATGCATGTGGAGGGAGATTATGCATGTGGACCTAATCTAATCACATTAGCCCCATTAAAGCAGAATTTTCTCAAATTGGTACCAATAATAATAATAATAAAAAGATTTAAAGTGTGAGAGGAATGCAACATGAGGGACATTGTTCCTTGGTTCATTGTTAAGACAGAAGGAGCCACATGGAAAGACCTGGAAGAGGCCTCCAGGAGTTGAGAGTGAATCCTAGCTTATAGCCAGGCCAGGATGAAGATGGGAACCTCAGGTCTACAATTGCAAAGAACTTAATTATTTTAAAACCTGAGTATATCAGGAAGTATATTATTCCCGGAGTCTCCAGATAAAAGTCCGGATGTCCTTCGCCTAGATTTCAGTGTTAAGGGATCCTAAGCAGAGAACCCGATCCAGCCCCATCTAGACTTCTGGTATTTGTAACTGAGATAATAAAGGGGTGCTGTTTTAAGTGGCTATGTTTGTGCTATCATGCTGCAACAGAAAACTAATATATAAGGGAAAAGAAATGAAAACTCCTTGCCACAGGTTCATGCCAAGCATATTTGAGAAACAGGGCCAGTGTGTATGAAGTCTACTGAGCCAAATATAAAAACTTGAAGATAGAGAGGTAAGAGCACCGAGTTACACCTGTTTTTCTAATGATAACTAAATTTTCATTAGCTACACAATAGTCTCATATATACCACAATTTACTTAGACCTTTCACTCTAGTTAATTTTGTTACATCAAGTCTTATATATTATTAGATAAAGTATATTAGATACTATTATAATAAATACCTTCATACATATAGCATTTTTCCTTAGTTTGTTCATTTGTCTTTCAAAAGATTGTTATTTTACAATAATGTCTGCTCTTAATTTTGCTGGACCCTTGCAAGCATTGAGGTGTATTTTCCTTTTTAGGTTTTCCTACCTTAATAAGTAAAAGAGTAGCAATACTTAACAATGTTTTCTATGAATACCTATAAGAATAAATGCTTCTTCCAATTTGTTTCCACATAGCATTTTTATTAATTGATTTCTGAAAAAGATAGTGTTGTTTATTAAGCTACTGATAGGTGAAGAAATCAGTTGAAAGAGGTTTCAGAATTGTTTTTGATTATAACTTGCTGTCCTTTAATCCCTGGTGTCTCAAGTTTCTCACCTATGAAATAAAGACAGAGTCTGCTGTCATATCAAAAAAATTTATAAAGCATTTACAGAGGTGCATCCTTGCATTTCTTCCTATTAACTTACATGTATATATGTACTTTTAAAACAAGAAACAATATTGTATAGTGCAAGGAACTGCATTGGGATTAGGTAGACCTCAACCATTTTAGCATGCTGTATAACCTTGTATAATTTACCTTATTTCTTTGTCACTTAGTTTCTGCATCTATATAATGAGTAACTTGGCATAATGTTTTAGCTAATTTCTGGGTACTATTGATGTCTATATTCTTTTATAATAACTACCTACAAAGTCAGACATGGGATCTGGCAAATTCTGCCCTCTCTGCACAGACACAAAGAGTCCACATGTGACCCCAAAATGAATTGTTACTCATCAACTCTTTCAGATAGTCCCTTTGATCATTCCATATTTCTCCTTTTCTCAGTTACCTCTCCACATAGTTACATCTTAGCTTCCTCTTTTACAATAGAAAATTATGCCTAGGTGTCTCTCACTTGTCTGCTAAAAATGCTACTGATCAAAAAATTACAGACATTTAAAAATGAATATTTATACCACTGAAAATCATTACCCCAATAAATAGCACTCCAAGAAATTTAACCAAGTCCCAAGCAGTGAAAACACGAATAAATGAGGAATGAGTGAAAAGAATGATAAAACCACAGATCAAGAAAACACTAAAAATCATAAATAGATAATGAATTCTACTTTATTTCATTATATTTGATAAGATATATGGATGATTTTCAAGGAAAAAGTTGGTTCTTAAAAAAAACAGAAATAAATAGACAAATAACCATAAAAATAATTGAACAGGTGCCACAATAATAGCAAAGACTTGGAACCAACCTAAATGTCCAACAATGATAGACTGGATTAAGAAAATGTGGCACATATACACCATGGAATACTATGCAGCTATAAAAAATGATGAGTTCAGTCCTTGTAGGGACATGGATGAAACTGGATACCATCATTCTCAGCAAACTATCACAAGGACAAAAAACCAAACACTGCATGTTCTCACTCTTAGGTGGGAATTGAACAATGAGAACACATGAACACAGGAAGGGGAACATCACACACCAGGGACTGTTGTGGGGTCGGGGGAGAGGAGAGGGATAGCATTAGGAGATATACCTAATGCTAAATGATGAGTTAATGGGTGCAGCACACCAACATGGCACATGTATACATATGTAACAAACCTGCACGTTGTGCACATGTACCCTAAAACTTAAAGTATAATAATAATAAAATTAAAAAAAAAATAATTGAACAGGTACCAAAAGAACATTACTAAAGCATAAATCTGGCTAATTTTGTCTGTGAAATCTTTCAAACTTTCAAGATGCGAAAAATTACGCTGCTTTTAAAAATATGTATTTACATAGAGTTATGAAAAAGTTTCCCAGTCATATCCAAGTTAGCATAATTCTAATAACAAAATCTCAAAAAAATCACAGTAAATGAAAACTACATATTGATGTTTTGTTCCTATAAATATGAGAATCCTAAATAAAACATTATTCAATTCTATCAGGCAGAATAAGAATAAACCCTCTATTATTGCTGAAGTTTATTCTAAGAATTCAAGGATGGTTTAACATGTGAATTACACTAACAAATTGATTTTGATACAATTCAACAGTATTTGTAATTACTGTTTTAAAATTTTTAAACTTTAATTTTAAATTAATAATACATGTGCAGGATGTGCAGGTTTGTTACCTGCACATGTATTATGTGTGCCATGGTGGTTTGCTGCATAGCTCATCCCATCACCCAGTATTAAGCCCAGCATCTATTAGCTATTCTTTCTGATCCCCTCTCTACTTCTACCCTCTGCCCTCTGACAGGCCCCAGTGTGTATTGTTCCCCACCCATCTGTCCATGTATTCTCATCATTCAGCTCCCACTTATAAGTGAGAACATGTGGTATTTGCTTTTCTGTTCCTGTGTTAGTTTGCTAAAGATAATGGCCTCCAGCTCCATCCATGTCTCTGCAAAGGACATGATCTCATTCCTCTTTATGGCTGCATAATATTCCATGGTGTATGTGTACCATATTTTCTTTATCTGCCCTGGGCATTTAGGTTGATTCCATGTTTTTGCTACTGTGAATAGTGCTTCAGTGAACATATATGTGTATGTCTTTATAACAGAATGGTATATATTCCTTTGGGTATATACCCAGTAATGGGATTGCTGGGTCAAATGGTATTTTTGCCTCTAGGTCTTTAAGGAATTGCCACACTATCTTCCACAGTGGTTGAACTAATTTACACTCCCACAAACCTTTTATAAATAGAATACAGCAACAAAATTCTTCATCAAAGATGAGGCTTCTCCTTACTGGTTTTTTCAATATTGGATTGGAGGCCTTAGTCAATTAATAGGATAATAAATATTGATAAGAATGTATCTTGAAAAGGAAAAATACATGTTATCCTTATTTGAAAATAATATTCTCATCTACCCAAGTACAGGTACCATGTCTCTTACTGATATGGTTTGGCCCTGTGTTTCCACCCAAATCTCATCTTGAATTGGAAATATCCCCATGTGTTAAGGGCAGGACTGGGTAGAGATAATTGAATCAAGGGGATGGTTTTCCCCATGCTTTTCTTGTGATAGTAAGTTCTAACAAGATCTGATGGTTTTATAAGGGGCTTAGTCTTTCACTTGGCTCTCACTTCTCTCTTGTCTGACACCATGTAGACATGTCTTTCACCTTCTGCCACTATTGTGAGGCCTCCCCAGCCACGTGGAACTGTGAGTACATTAAACTTCTTTCCTTAACAAATAACCCAGTCTCAGGTATGTCTTTATTAGCAGTGTGAGACTGCTAATTACAGTTCATTGGTACCATAGAGAGTGGGGTGCTGCTACAAGGATACCCCAAAATATGGAAGCAACTTTGGATCTGGGTAAAAGGTATAGGTTGGAACAGTTTGGAGGGCTCAGAAGAAGACATGAAAATGTGGAAAAGTTTGGAACTTCCTAGAGACTTTAAGGAAGACAGGAAGATGTGGGAAAGTTTGGAACTTCCTAGAGACCTGTTGAATGGCTTTGACCAAAATGCTGATAGTGATATGGACAATGAAGCCACACATGCACAAAATACCTTCAAAATAGTTAAGAAATCCAGGTGAGAAATTTTAGCACTTAAGTGGAGCAGAGAAATAAGAAAAGACACAATAAAGGGTAGGAAGGATAGTTCCACAATACCAACATTAGCCGCCCCACTCCCGCCAAGCTCACACAGCATGACACAGAGAAATATACCCTCCACATGAAGGAAAGAGACTGAAGTGAGTCCGTGAATTCTCTGCAGATGCCAATACAAAGCCCATTCCAGTGAATCCCAGTGCCAGGGCAGCCCCCATGGACCCAAGCTCCAGACTTCCTCCAGTGGACTCAAGACCAAGACCAGCCCCAAAGCCAGACCATCATGTCTGGACCCAAACTCCAGGCACACCTCTGTGGATTCAGGTGCCAGCCTTACCCACCTATTTACCCAGGCACGAGACTAACCTACCTAGCAGCAAGCTTGTCCATGGACTACTTGTCATCCCTCACAGAGTCTGTGCACAGACTGACTTTTGAAGGGCTTTCCCTGCCAAAGCCAGTCTATAAAGATGGAAAGAGGTATCTCCTTCTTTAATGGCACAGACACAAACAGAAGGCCACAAGAGTCACACACACACAAATCAAGATAACATGACACCACCAAAGGAACAAACTAAGAAATGAAGATCTACAAAATGCCTGACAAATTAAAAATAATCATCTTAAGGAAGCTTAGTGAGATACAAGAGAAAACACTTAGACATCTAAATAATATCAGGGAAACAGTACATGAACAAAACGAGCAGTTTACAAAGAAATACAAGCAATAAAATATAACCAAACAGAACCTCTGGAGTGTGAGAACACAGTAGCCTAACTAAAAACATTTATAGAGACCTTCAACAACAGACTCACATCAAGAAGAAAGAAATCAGCAAGCCTGAAGACAGTCCATTTCAAATTACCCAGTCAGAAGAACAAACAAATACAAAAACAAAAAGATGACATAAAAGAGAGAAGAAAGACTGTAGGACTTCTGGAACAGCATATAGAAGACAAATCTATGCATTATGAACATCTTAGAAGAAGCATAGAAAGGGAAAGGGGCAGACAGCTCATTGAAAGAAATTTTGACAGAAAACCTTCTGAATTGGAGAGAGAAATAAATATCCACATCCATGACGTACAAAGAACCACAAATATATTAAACATAAAGAGATCGTCACAAAAACACATTATAATTAATTTTTTAAGTTAAAGAAAAAGAGAATATTAAAGGCAGAATGAGAAAAGTAACTCATCACATCTAAAGAAACCCTCATAAAACCATTAGTGGATTTCTTAGCAGAAAGCTTGTAGGCCAAGAAGAATGGTATGTTTCAAAGTGCTTAAAGAAAGAAAAAAAAAGAAACTACCAACCAAGAATATTATACCTAGTCAAGCTGTCCTTCAAAAGTGAAAGAGAGATAAAGGCTTCCCAGAAAAACAAAAGCTGAAGAAGTTCATCACCATTACACCTTCCTTGAAATGCTAAAGGGAATTCAAGTAGAAAGAAAAGAACACTAATTAACAACATAAAAACATATGAAAGTATAAAACTCACTGTAAAGTTAAGAATATACTCAAATTCAGAATACCCTAATACTGTGATGGTTGTATATCACTTTTAACTGTAGTATAAAAGTTAAAAGACACAAGTATTAGAAATTATCTATAGCTACAATAATTTGTTAATGAATACACATTTTAAAAATATAAATTTTGACACCAATAACATAAAAGTTGAGGAAGGAAAAGTTAAAGTGCAGACTTTTTGTATTCAATCAAAGTTAAGTTGTTATTAGGTTAGACTAGATTGTGTTATAACTATGCAATGTTTTACATAAGCCTCATGGTAACCACAAAGAAGAAGCCTGTGGTAGATATACAAAGATAAGGAGAAAATAACCAAAGCATAACACTACAAAAAAAAAAAAACATCAAATTACAAAAGAAGACAGCAAGATAAAAAGAAAAAAAAGTTTAAAAACAATGGAAAATTGTCAATAGTAAGTTATTACCTATAATAATTACCTTACATAAAAATGAATTAAATTCTCCAATCAAAAAACATAGAGTGGATAAATGCATTTTTTTAAAAAAGATTCAACTATATGCTGCCTACAAGAGATTCATTTTAGCTTTAAGGACACACATAAGCTGAAAGTGAAGAGATGGAAGAAGATATTCCACATAAATGGTAATTAAAAGAGAGTAGGGGTAGCTATTCTTACATCAGACACAATAAATTTAAGTCAAACATTGTCACAAGAGACAAAGCCAATCATAATGTAATGACAAATGGTTAATTCATCAAAAGACTATAACAATGGAAAATATATATGTAACCAACACTGAAACACCTACATTTATTAAGCAAATAGTAACACAACTAAAGGGAGAAATAGACAGCAATACAATAATAGTTAGGGATGAAAATTTACGACTTTCAACAATGGGTAGATCATTCTGAAAGAAAACCAATAAGAAAACAGTGGACTCAAACAGTGCTATAGACTAAATGTATCTAACAGACATATACAGAACATTCCATCCAACAGCAACAGCATACATATTGTTTTCAAGTGCACACAAAACATTCTCCAAGATAGATAACATATATGTTAGGCCACAAAACAAGTCTTAGCAAATTGAAGAAGATTGAAATCATATCAAGCATCTTTTCTACCCACTCTGCTATGAAACTAAAATCAACAGAAGCAAAATTTAAAATTTTACATATATGTGAAAATTAAACAACACATTTTTAAGCATTCAATGAGTCAAAGAAGAATAAAAACAGAAGCCCCAAAATGTCTGAGACCAAGAAAAATGGAAATACAACAGACCAAAACTTAAGAGATGCTCCAAAAGCAGTTCTAAGAGGAAAGCTTATAGAAGAAAATAAAAAAGGCTTCAAATCAAACCTTAAGAAATCAAAGTTTGCAAAAAAAGGTCTGAAATCAAACCTACATTAAAAAATAAAAAAGGCTTCACATCAAAAACCTAACTTTACACCTCAAGGAACTAGAAAAAGAAGAACAAGTTAAGCCAAAGGTTAGCAGAAGAAAAGAAATAACAAATATCATAGCAGAAATAAATGAAATAGAGATCAGAAAAACACAGAAGATCAAGGAAACTAAGAGTTATCCTTTGAAAAGATAAAATTGACAAACCTTTACCTAGACTAAGAAAAAGAGAGATAAGATTCAAATATATAAGATTAAAACTTAAAGAAGTGTGCAATGGTTTGAATGATGAGGCCCCCTCCAAAATTCATGTGGAAACATAATCCCCAATGCAACAGTATTACAAGTATTATGGTTTGAATCTGTGTCCCCACCCAAATCTCATGTTGAATTGTAATCATCAGTGTTGGAGATGAGGCCTGGTGGGAGGTGATTGGATCATGGGGGTGGCTTCCAGTGGTTTAGTACTATCCCCCCTTGGTACTGTACATTGAGTAAATTCTCAGGAGATCTGGTTGTTTGTGTGTAGCACTTCTCCCCTCTCTCTATTCCTCCTGCTCTGACCATGTGAAGATACCCACTCCAGCTTTGTCTTCTACCATGAGTAAAAGTTTCCTGAGGCCCCAACCCTCAGCCATGCTTCCTGCACAGCCTGTGGAACCATGAGCCAAGTAAATCTCTTTTCTTTATAAATTACCCAGTCTCAGGCATTTCTTTATAGCAGTGAGAGAATGAACAAATACAGAAAATATATGGCCTAAAGAAGGTCCATCTTCATGAATGGAATTAGGTGCCCTTATAAAAGGGCCTGATGAACAGATTTCTCCCCTTTTCATCTATTCTGTCCAACTCCCTTGTGGTGAAATAGCATCCCTCACCTTGGGAGTACACAGTAACAAGCCCCTTCTTGGAAGCAGAAAGCAGCCCTCAATCCTGCCAGTGCCTTGATCTTGGATTTCCCAGCTTCCAGAATCATGATAAATCAATTTCTACTGTTTATAAATTAACCAGTTTGTGGTATTTTTATAGAAGCATAAATGGACTAAAACAGAAATTGGTACCAGAGAAGTGGACTGTTGTTACTGTTTGTTACTGTTGCTGTAACAAATACCTGAAAAATGTAGAAGCAGCTTTGGAACTGGGTAGTGGTTAGAGGCTGGAACAGTTGTGAACTGCATGGTAGAAAAAGCCTAGATTGCCATGAATGGAGCATAAAAAGTAATTCTTGAGAGAGCTCAGGAGAACCATAGAAAAAAATCCACAGTTTTAGAGATTATTTAACTGGTCATGAACAGAATGTTGGTAGAAATACAGATAGTAAGGCCATTTTTATGAGGTCTTAGATGGAAATAAGAACTATATCACTGGAAACTGGAGGAAAGACCATTCTTGTTACAAAGTGTCAAAGAACTTGGCTGAATTGTGTCTGTGTTCTACTTTGCAGAGGGCAGAATTTAAGAGTGATGGACTAGGATACTTGGTGGAATGAATCTCTAAGCAGAGCATCAAGGGTCTTTGTGGCTTTTCTCAACTGTTTATAGTAAAATCTAAGAAGAGAAGCAAGTTAAATATGGAATCTATAACCAAAGGGAAACAGGATGCAAAGACTCAGAAAATTCTCCCCCTAGTCATGTAAAAAAAAGGTATGTTTAGGAGAGAAAACCAAGGGTCTTATCAAGCAACCACATAATAAAGAGATGAGCATGGGTAGAAGGAAACCAGGTGCTATTCATGAAGACAATGGGAGAACAATACCAAAGGTGCTTCAGAGATTCTCAAGGCTGCCATTACCTTTAGAGGCCCAGAGTTCTAGGACTTTGAGGGCAGAATGACTTCAAGGGAGAGATTTAGGGAACCCTTGGGAACTTCGGGCTCATTGTCCAGGGTTACCTCAATTCTCTGCCCCCTGTATTCTGCTCCAGTGCTCCTTGGCTACACCAACTGTGGCTCAAGCAAGCCCAGGTGCAGGTTGGGCCACCACACCTGAAAGCACAAGCCATAGTCTTGGCATTGTCCACTCTGTGGATGTGCAGAGTGCAGAAGCTGAGGAGGCAGGGCTACCTCCACCTAGATTACAATGGATGTCTTGAACAGCCTCAGGGACCAGGCAGAGACATGCCCCAGGGGTGGGGCCACTGCAGAAAGTCCTCACTAAATGAATGCTTAGAGGATTCATAGGGGCAGAGCCATCCCCCAGACTATATACCTATAGAGTCACTAGCATGCAATACCAAACTGGGAAAGCCACAAGCACCTGAGTCTAATCCATGAGGACTGTGGTATGGGCTGTGTCTAGCAAAGCCTGAGTGAAGAGTTCCCTGTAGCCTTGTAAACCCACCTCCTTCCAATGTGTCTGGCAGGTGGGACGTGGAGTCAAAGAAGATTATTCTCCAGCCTTAAGATTTAATGTTGCTTTAGTGAAAGAAACAATCAGCAGAGTAAACAGGCAACCCACAGAATGGGAGAAAATCTTCGCAATCTATACATCTGACAAATGACTAATATCCAGAATCTACAAGAAACTCAAACAAATCAGCAAGAAAAAAACAAACAATCCCATCAAAAAGTGGGCTAAGGACATGAATAGACAATTCTCAAAAGAAGATATACATATGACCAACAAACATATGAAAAAAAATGCTCAACATCACTAATTATCAGGGAAATACAAAGCAAAACCACAATGGTGATACCAGCTAACTCCTGCAAGAATGGTAATAATAAAAAATAATAACAATAGGTGTTGGCACGGGGATATGGCGAAAAGGGAACATTTTTACACCTTTGGTGGGGAATGTAAACTAATACAACCACTATGGAAAACAGTGTAGATTCCTTAAATAACTAAAAATATATTAACCATTTGATCCAGCAATCCAACTTCTATGTATCTACCCACAGGAAAAGAAGTCATTATACGAAAAAGATACCTGCACACGCATGTTTTTAGCAGCACAATTCACAATTGCAAAAATATGAAACTAGCCCAAATGCCTATCATTCAATGAGTGGATAAAGAAAATGTGGTATATAAATACCATGGAATGCTACTCAGTCATAAAAAGGAATGAAATAGTGGCATTTACAGAAACCTGGATGGAACTGGAGACAGTTATTCTAAGTGAAGTAGCTCAGGAATGGAAAACTAAACATCGTATGCTCTCACTCATAAGTGGGAGCTAAGCTATGAGGATACAAAGGCATAAGAATGATACAATGGACTTTGGGGCTTGGAGGAAATGGTGGGAGGGGGTGACGTATAAAAGACTACACATTAGGTACAGTGTACACAGCTTGGGTGATGGGTGCATCAAAATCTCAGAAATCACCATTAAAGAACTTATTCATGTAACACCTGTTCCCCCAAAATCTATTGAATTAAAAATATAAAAATACATAAAAATAAATTTAACTGTTGCTTGCCTTGTTGGATTTTGAACTTAATTAGGACTTGTTACTCTTTCTTCTTGCCTATTTCTCCCTTTGAATGGAAATGTCTATTCTATGCCAGCCTCACCACCATTTTTTGGAAGCATATAACTTGTTTGATTTTACAGGAAAATTTGGAAGAAAAATTGCTTCAGGAAAGGAAGCTAGAAGGAAATTTGCCTTCAGATAAATTATAATGCAAGTCTCACCCTTATGTGATTTAGACGATATTTATGAGAGATTCTGGATTAGACTTTAGAGTTAATGCTGGGATGAGTTAAGACTTTGGGGGCTATTGGGATAGAATAAAAATATTTTGTATGTGAGAAGGACATAAATTTTAGAGGACTGGGGGCAGAATGCAATTGTTTGAATGATGATGCCCCTTCCAAAATTCATGTTGAAACATAATTTCCAATGCAACAATATTAACAAGTGTGGCCTTTAGGAAGCGATTGAGTTATGAGGGCTCTGCTCTCATGAATGGAATTAGATGCCCTTACAAATGGGCTTGATGGAAGGAGTTCTCCTCTTTTCACCCCTTCTGTCCCTTGTTCCATGTGAGAACACAGCATTTCTCCTCTATGAAGGGTGCAGCAACAAGTCACCATCTTGGAAGCAGATGGCAGCCCAAATCAGACATCAATTTTCCCAGTGCCTTGATCTTGGACCTCCATGCCTTCATAACCATGAGAAATAAATATATATTATTTATAAACTACCCAGTGCATGGTAATTTATTATAGTAGCAAAAACTAAGACAAGGAGACATTACAACTGATATAACAGAAATACAAAGGATCACAAGAGGATACTATGAACAATTATACAATAACAAATTAGATAAACTAGAAGAAATGGATAAATTCCTAGAAACATATAACTTACCAAGACTAAACCACGAAGAAATAGAAAATCTGAAAGGATCAATAATAAATAAGATTGAATCAGTAATCAAATACCTCCTCCCTCCTCAAAAAAAAAAAAAAAAAAAAAAAAAGCCCAAGATCTGATGGCTACTAAACACCTGAGAAGAATTAATGCAAGTTCTTATCGATTTTTTTTTTAATTGGAGAGGAGGGAATACTTCCAAACTGATTTTTTCAGCCCAGCTTTGTCCCATTGTCAAAGCCAGACAAGGATACTACAAACAACAAAAATTATAGGCCTGTTTGCCTAATTAACACTGATGAAAAAAAAAAAAAACCTCAACAAAATACTAGGAAATAAAATTTAATAGAGTGTTAAAAGGATAATATACCATGATCAAGTGGAATTTATTCCTGGCATGTAAAAAAGGTTCAACATACTTAAATCAATCACTATATTAACAGAATAAGGGATTAAAAATTATATGATTATTTCAATAGATGCAGAAAAGAGCATTTGACAAAATTCATTAGTAATAAAATGTTCTTTAAAAATTAGCTACAGAAGAAACACATCTTAACATAATAAAGGCCATGCATGATAAGCCCACAGCTAATATAATACTCAACAGTTAAAAGCTTAAAACTTTGTCTTGAAGATTATAAACAAGACAAAAATATCCACTCTTGTCACTTCTGTAAAACATAGTATTGGAAGTCCTAACCAGAGAAACTAAACAAAACAAAAAAAAAGAAAATTCATCCACGTTGTAAAAGAAGTAAAATTGTCTGCAGATGACATGATCTTATACGTGGAAAACCATAAAGATGCTGCCAGAAAACCATTCAAACTAATAAATAAATTCAGGAAAGTTGCAGAACACAAATTCAACATACAAAAATCATGTGCATTTCTATACACTAATGACAAACTACACAAAAAATAAATTGAAATAACAATCCCATTTACAATAGCATCAAAAATATTTAGGAATAAATTTACCCAAGGAGGTAAAAAACCTTGTACTAAAAACTATAAAACATTGATGAAAGTAATTGAACACCACCCAAATGAACGGAAAGATATTCTGTGTTCATGGATTGGAAGAATTAATATTGTTAGACTGTCCATAACCAAAAGCGATGTACAGATTTAGTGCAATCCCTATCAAAATTAAAATGGCATTTTTCATAGGTTTAGATAAAACAATCTTATGATTCATTTGGAACCACAAATTGCCAATGCAATTTTAAGCAAGAAGAACATAGCTGGAAGAATCATATTTCCTGATTTCAAAATATATCACAAAGCTACAGTAATCAGAAAAGTACAGTGCTGGTATAAAAACAGACATATGACTGATGGAACATAATAGTGAACCCAGAAGTAAATCCACACATATATAGCCAACTGGTTTTTGGCAAGGGTACTAAGAACACACAATGGGGAACAGATAATCTCTTCAACTTATGGTGTTGGGAAAACTGGATATCCATATCCAGAAGAATGAAATTGGCCACTTATTCTACACCACATACAAAAAACAACTCAAAATGGATTAAAGACTTAAATGTAAGCCCTGAAGCTGCAAAACTACCAGAAGAAAACACAGGGTAAAAGCTTGTTGACATAGGTCTGGGCAATTATATTTTAGGTCTGACACCAAAAAGCACAGGCTAAAAAAGCAAAAACAGACTAATGGGATTGCATAAAACTAAAAAGCTTCTTTACAGCAAACAAAACAATCAACAGAGAAAATAACCTAAGGAATGGGAAAAATATTTGATTAATATCCAAAAAATATAAGAAATTCAAACAACTAAATAGAAAAAACCCAATAACCCAATTAAAAAAATGGACAAAAGACTTGAATGGACATTTCTCAAAAGAAGACACATAGTCAAGAGGTATATAAAAAATATGCTCAGCTTCATTGATCATTAGGAAAATGCAAATGAAACCCACAAGAAGCTGTTACATCACACCTATTAGAATGACTATCATTTTAAAAAATCAAGTGTTGGTGTGGATATGGAGAAAAGGGAAACTTACACACTGTTGATTGGAATATAAATTGGTACAGCCATTATAGAAAACACTATGGAGGTTCCTCAAAAAGTCATAGAACTATCATATGATTAAGCAATCTCACTTTTGGGTAAGGAAATAAAATCAGTTAGGTCAAAGAGATATCTGCACTCCCATGTTCACTGCAGCATTATTAACAATAGCCAAGTGTCCATCAAAGGATGAATTGATCAAGGAAATAATTTGTTGAAAAATGGTAAAAGTTCTTAAAAAGAGATTCCCTTCTCCAATTCATAAAGCAGAAGAGTCATCCTTCTTCTATCATAGACATCAGGAAGTATACTTTCAATTTTCTCAGGAAATGTTGAGGGTTAGAAACCCTCCTGAAAACAGAAGAATTAAGTGGAAGATGCTTACTGTACTGTAAAACTCACTTGCCCAGCCCTCAGAAGGCTGGCACCCCACCCTCTAACTAGTTTGTAGAGCTCAATGCCTGAAAAGATTTTGTCCATGAGTAACATCTCACAGGTTCTGATATTTAGAGAACCACAATGAAGAAAAACAAAAAGTCCATCACGCAACAGAAACACTCACGGTCTATGAGCATAATAACTCCCTGATCCCACATAAGGCTTTCAATTAGTTTTCTAGTGCCTGATTCCAAAATACAATTAGACAAGGATTAGAAGATATATAAGGAAAGGTTTCAATATGAAAGACAGAAACAAAAATTAGCATAAAAGAAAAACTATAACACTAGGAGCAGAGGAAAGCTCAAAAATAGAGTATCTTCATAGCAATAAGAGAAGACATTGCATTCATGAAGAAAGAATGGAACATGACAAAAAGAGAGCATACAGGGAATAAGAAAATAATATGATAGGTAAAAATAAAATATCCAGTGGAAATTGGAAGCTCTCAGAGTCTAGAAAAGTCTAGAAAAATCTTTAGAAAACAGAGCATAAGGAAATAAGACAAAATGGGAGCTAAAATATGATAAATTAGAGAACTAATTCAAGAGGCCCAACCAATAGGAGTTACAGAAAGAGAGAACAAAAGTGCATGAGTGAGAGTTAGCAAGTGTGTGTGTCTGAGAAAGAGAGACGGAAGAATTATCAAAGAAGTAATATAAAACATTTCTTAAGGCCAGCACACACAAATCTACTTAAAAACTACTCCTGGCCGGGTGCAGTGGCTCACGCCTGTAATCCCAGCACTTTGGGAGGCCTAGGTGGGTGGATCACGAGGTCAGGAGATCAAGACCATCCTGGCTAACACGGTGAAACCCTGTTTCTACTAAAAATACAAAAAATTAGCCAGGCATGGTGGCTGGCACCTGTAGTCCTAGCTACTCGGGAGGCTGAGGCAGGAGAATGGCGTGAACCCGGGAGGCGGAGCTTGCAGTGAGCCGAGATGGCGCCACTGCACTCCAGCCTGGGTGACAGAATGAGACTCTGTCTCAAAAAAAAAAAAACCTACTCCCACCAGTCAGCACAAGTGATGTAAAAGAACTCACAAGTATATTGTCATGAAATTTCAGTACCTTAAGAATAAAGAAAACATTCTAAAAACTTCCAGAAAGAAAGAAAAAAAACACAAGAGATTAAGAATCAGAATAGTACTGGACTTTTTACAGCAACATCACGGAAGCAGAAACAATGGGAAAAAAATGCCTTCCATATTTTGAGAGGAAATGATTTCCAATCTAGAATTACATATACAAGCAAATTATCAATCAAGTATATGAGTAGAAAAATATATTTTTAGACATTCAAATTCTCAAAAATGAAATAGTTCCCATGTACTCTTTCTCAATATTGTACTGAAGTAATGTACTAAAACAAAATTAAGAAAAATGATAAAATGACATCCAAGAAATAGGTGTTTAAACACAAGGAACCCGAAGAAGGAATTTCAGGAAATTCAGAAAGTGAAAGGATGATATTTGCACGGTGGGCCCAAATATAAACTAGTTGAGATTGGAGCAAGATGATGAAGACATTTTTTAGAAAAAAATTATAGCTTACCTAGTGTGTTTAATCTATGAAAAGAAGTTTTATTACTCTACCATAGAATCTGATGATTAAAAAAGTTTGTGTGGCTAGAAGAGACAAGATGGCTGACTAGACAAAACCAGGAAGAGCATCTCCACCAAGAGACCAGACTATGAAGAAGACTGGCACATTCTGAGCAGATCTTTGGAATAAAGGCATTGAGAGTGGATGCAGGGAAGACACAGACCCTGGGTTGAAGGCAGAGGAGTCTGGGAACCCTGCATGGGGCTCCAGAGCGCTAGGATTCATTCCTGGCCCTCAGCAGCACCTGGGGAAGGAGTGAATTAAACAGGTGAGGAATGGCCCACTCTCACAATGGACCCATAAAATCCTAGCGGCAGGACACCCCATGACCCCCACAGACATTTGATCTGACAGGGAGAGCTTCTTGAGGAGGTGGCACAAAAGGACTCCATCTTGTGCCAAGCCCAGAGGGTTTGACACAGGAATGGCTGCAGTGGAGCACAGCCACGGATGTCTATCCCCCAAGGCTTGCCACACTCCTTTAGGTGGCTTTGGCCTTTCTTGACTGCCACACTTGGACAGAGCAAGGTGGTCTTGCCCGTGGGAGGGAGCCAGTGTGATCTGTGTGCCCCCCTGTCTGCCGGCCTCCTTGGAGTCCCTGCCAGGCTGTACCTGCTTGCAGAACAGCCTCAGATGCCCAACAAGGGTGCTTACTGGTGGCTGCTGCCATAGTTCCTTCAATAGTAGAACTTGTTTAACCATCAGAGAATTTCAGCAGATGGGCCCCCACCAACATCCACTCACTTGTAGCTTCTCCCCACTGCTTTGCCAACATGTAAGCATGCAGACTGCACTTCCCCATTACCACTGACACACACAAGTGTGGACCTTGCCACCACCATCCTGCCCTAGCCGGCACACAAGTGTGCATACCCCACTGCCCCACAACTGCCAGCACACACATGAACACCATTGCATCACTGCCATCAGTACATGCCTGTGTGCACAGACCCACTGCCACTGGCCTGATGAAGCACCTTTGCCAGTACCCCCCATCAGAAGATTGTTGCCAGTGGACTGGGAACACCACACATTGTCCCCTCCAGTGCAGTAGGTTCTTAACCTAGAGGGGCCAGAGAACAAAACACTTGTCCTGGTACCAGCCTCCTAGGATTAGAGCATGCAGCCTAGAAGTACTGAGCTGAGGCTTGGCCCCCTGAAATCATCCAGAAACAAAGCCAGTCACCTGAACCCAATTTATACTACACTCAAATGCTCAAGGGCAAAGAATATAAAAGCAACAATCCCCATCCAAAGAACAGAAACTTCAAATATTAAAGGAACATCATTAGCTTACACAGATGAGAAAGAACCAGTGCAAGAATTCTAACAACTCAAAAAGCCAGAGAGTCTTCTAACCTTCAAATGACCACACTAGCTTCCAAGCAATGGTTCTTAACCAGGCTAAAATACCTGAAGTGACAGACAAAGGATTCAGAATCTGGATAGCAATGACGGTAATCGAGATTCAGGATAAAGTCAAAAGTCAATCCAAGGAATCTAAGGAATCCAATAAAATGATATAGGAGCTGAAATTTGAAATAGCCAATTTAATAAAGAACCAAACTAATCTGATAGAACTGAAAAACTTACTACAAGAATTTCGTAATAGAATTAGAAGTATTAACAGCAGAACAGAACAAACTGAGGAAAGAATCTTAGAGCTCAAAGACCAGTTCTTCAAAACAAATCAGTCAGACAAAAATAAAGAAATAAAAAAGGATGATCAAAACCTCCAAGAAATATGGGGATTATTAAAGAAATATGGGATTATGTAAAGAGACCAAATCTATAACTCATTGGCATCCCTGAAAGAGAGAAAAAGGGAACAAGCAACTTGGAGAACAAATTTGAGGATATTGTCCACAAAAATTTCCCCATCCTGGTTAGAGAGGTTGACATACAAATTCAGGCAATTCAGAGAACCCCTGTGAGATGCTATACAAGGTGACCATCCCCATGACACACAGTCATCAGATTCTCCAACATCAATATTAAAGAAAAAATATTACAGGCAGGGGAAGGTCATCTAGAAAGAGAACCCCATCAGACTAACACCAGACCTTTCATCAGAACAATATTTGGGCCTATATTCAGCATTATTAAATAAACAGAATTCCATCTCAAAATTTTATATTCAACCAAACTAAGCTTCATACATGAAGAAGAAAAAAAATCCTTTTTAGATATGCAAATACTAAGGAAACTTGTTATCACCAGGCCTACCTTACAGGAAGTCATTAAGGGAGTGTTAAATATGGCAACAAAATACCATTACCAGACACCACATAAACACACTTAAAGACATAGACTATTGAAACTATGAAGCAACTACACAATCAAGTCTGTATAATAACCACCTAAACACATGATGACAGGATCAAATCCACACTTATCAATATTAACCTTGAATGTTAATAAGTTAAACCCCCCATTTAAAAGGCACAGAGTGGCAAGTTGGATACATACAAAAGACCCAACTGTATGATGTCTTCAGGAAACCTATCTCACTTGCAATGGCACCTATAGGCTAAGAGTAAAGGGATAGAGAAAAATCTACAAAACAGAAAACAAGAAAGAGCAGGGGTTGCTATTCTAATTTCGGACAAAACACTTTAAACCAACAATAGTCAAAGAAGACAAAAAAGGGCATTACATAATGATAAACAGTTCAATTCAACAAGAAGATGTAGCTATCCTAAATATATATGCAGTCAATACTGGAATACTCAGATTCATAAAACAAGTTCTTAGAGACCTATGAAGAGACCTAGATAACCACACAATAATAGTGGAAGACTTCAACAGCCCACTGATAGTATTAGACAGATCATCAAGGTAGAAAACTAACAAAGATATTTGGAACCGAAACTCAAAACAGATGTCTATAGACCACTCCACCCCAAAACAACAGATTATGTATTCTTCTCTTCTTCACATGGCACATGCTCTAAAATCAACCACATGTTTGGCCATAAAACAATGTTCAAATAATTAAGAAAAACAAAATTATATCAACCCCTTTTTTAAACAACAGCATAATGAAAATGGAAATCAATACAAAGAACTCTCACAACCATACAATTACATGGAAATTAAACAATCTGCCTCTGAATGATTTTGGGTAAACAATGAAATTAATGCAGTAATCAAGAAATTATTTGAAACTAATGAAAACAAAGTTACAACATGCCAGAATCTCTGAGACACAGCTAAAGCAGTGTTAAGAGGAAAGTTTATGGTACTAAACACCCACATGAAAAAGTTAAAAAGATCTCATAGTAACAACCTAAGATTTCACCTAGAGGAATTGGAAAAACAAGAGCAAACCAACCCCAAAGCTATTAGAAGAAAAGAAATAAACAGAAACATCCTGAAGTGAATGAAATTGAAATGCAAAAAAAAAAAAAAAAAAATACAAAAGAAAAACAAAACCAAAAGTTAGTTTTTTGAAAGAATAAATACGATTGATAGGCTGCTAGCTAGACTAATTCAAAAAACAGAGAAGATCCAAATATACAATCAGAAATCACAAAGGGGACATTACCACTGACCCCACAGAAATTTTAAAAAATCCCTCAGAGACTATTATGAATACCTCTATGCACACAAACTAGAAAACCTGGAAGACATAGATAAATTTCTGGAAACATACAACCTCTCAAGATTGAACTAGGAATAAATTGAAACCCTGAACAGATCAATAACATGTTCTGAAATTGAATCAGTAATAAAAAGCCTACCAATCAGAAAAAGCCCTGGACCAGAAGGATTCACAGCTGAATTCTACCAGACATACAAGGAAGAGCTGGTACCAACCCTACTGAAACTATTCCAAAAAATTGAGGAGGAGGAACTCTTCTCTAACTCATTCTGTGAGGCCAGCATTATTCTCATACCAAAACCTTGCAAAGACACAACAGAAAAGGAAAACTTCAGGCCAATATCCCTGATGAACATAGATGCAAAAATCCTCAACAAAATACCAGCAAACTTAATTCAACAGCGCATCAAAAAGCTAATCTACCATGATCAAGTTGACTTTATTCCTGGGATGCAAGGTTGGTTCAACATAGAAAATCAATAAGTGTAACTCATCACACAGAACTAAAAACAAACACCACAGGATCATCTCAATAGACACATAAAAGGCTTTCAATAAAATTCAACATCTTTTCATGCTAAAAACTTCAACGGAATAGGCATTGAAGAAATATACCTCAAAATCATAAGAGCCATGCATGACAAACCCATAGTCAACATCACACGGAACGGACAAAAGCCAGAAGCATTCCTTTTGAGAAGCAGAACAAGATAAGTATGCCCTCTCTCACCACTCCTATTTACTGGATGTCCTAACCAGAGCAGTCAGGCAAGAGAAATAAAAGGCAACCAAATAGGAAGAGAGGAAGTCAAACTATCTTTTCCGATGATATAATTTTATACCTAGAAAATCCTATAGTATCTGCTTAAAGCTCTTAGGTCTGATAAACAACTTTAGGAAAGTTTTACCATACAAAATCAATGTACCAAAAATTAACATCATTTTTATACACCAGCAATGTCCAAGCTGAGAGCCAAATCAAGAATGCAATTCCATTCACAAGAGCCACAAAAAATAATACCTAAGAGTATAGCTAACAGGGAGTTGAAAGATCTCTACGATGAGAATTACAAAACACTGCTTAAATAAATCAGAGACAGTAAAAACAAGTGGAAAAACATTCCATGCTCATGGAGAGGAAGAATTAATATTGTTAAAATGGCCATACTACCCAAAGCAATTTATAGATTCAATGCTATTACTATTTCACAGAATTAGAAAGAAACCATTCTAAAATTCATATGGAACCAAAAAAAGAGCCTGAACAACCAAGGCAATCTTAAGCAAAACAACAACAAACAAACAAAAACAAAAACCAAAAAACACAGTCAGAGGCATTGCATTACCCAACTTGAAATTATACTATAAGGCTACGTTTTTCAAAACAACAAGGTACTGGTAAAAAAAAAAAAAAAAAGTATACACTAATGAAACAGCTTAAAGAATCCAGAAATAAAACTCCACAGCTTCATCCATCTGATCTTTGACAAAGTCAACAAAACAAGCTATGGAGAAAGGACTCCCTATTTAATAAAAGGTGCTGGGGTAACTGATTAGCCAATATGCAGATGATTAAAACTGGATCTCTTTCTTTCACCATATACAAAGATCAAGTCAAGATGGATTAAACACTTAAATGCAAAATCTAAAATTATATATAAAAAAAAAACCTCATGAGTAAACCTAGGAAATATCATTCTGGACATAAGCCCTGGCAAAGATTTCATTAGGAAGACTCCAAAAGCAATTGCAACAAAAACAAAAAATGACAAATGGGACCAAATTAAACTAAAAAGCTTCTGCACAGCAAAATAAACTATCAGCAGAGTAAACAGAAAACCTACAGAATGGGAGAAAATATTTGCAACCCATGCATCTGAAAAAGGTCTAATATTCAAAACAAACTTAAATTTACGAGCAAAACAAAAACAAAAACCTCATTGAAAAGTGGGCAAAGAGTATTAACAGGCACTTCTCAAAAAGAAGACATAGGAAAAAATGCTCGGCCGGGTGCAGTGGCTTACACCTGTAATCCCAGCAGTTTGGGAGGCTGAGACAGGTGGATCACCTGAGGTCAGGAGTTTGAGACCAGCCTGACCAATGTGGTGAAACCCTATCCCTACTAAAAATACAAAAATTAGCCGGGCGTGGTGGCAGGCACCTGTAATCCCAGCTACTCGGGAGGCTGAGGCAAGAGAATTGCTTGAACTCAGGAGGCGGAGGTTGCAGTGAGCCGAGATCTTGCCATTGCACTCCAGCCTGGGCGACAAGAGCAAGACTTCGTCTCAAAAACAAAAAACAAAAAACAAAAAAAAACAAAAAAACTTACCATTACTAATCATTAGAGAAATCCAAAATCGAAACCACAATGAGATACCACCTGACACCAGCCAGAATGGCTATTAATAAGATGTCAAAAATAGAAGATGCTGGTGAGGTTGCAGAGAAAAGGGAACACTTATATACTGCTGATGGGAATGTAAATTAGTTCAGCCACTGTAGAAAGCAGTTTGGAGATTTCTCAAAGAAATTAAAACAGAATTACAATTTGACCCAGCAATCCCATTATCGGGTACATACCCAAAGGCATATAAATGACTCTACCACACATAGACGTGTATTTTCATCATAGCACTATTCACAATAGCAAAGACATGGAATCAATCTAAACACCCATCAATGGTGGACTGGATAATGAAAATGTGGTACATATACACCACGGAATACTATCCAGCCATAGAAAAGATCGAAATCATGTTCTTAGCAACAACATGGATGGAGCTGGAGGTCATTATCCTAAGTGAATCAACGCAGCAACACAAAATCAAGTACCACATGTTCTCACTTATAAGTGGGAGCTACACATTGAGTACACATGAACACAAGGAAGGTAGCAATAGACCCTGGGGCCTACTTGAGGGTGAAGGTTATGAGGGTGATGACTGAAAAACTACCTATTGGGGTGTTATGCTTATTACCTCTGTGAAAAAATAATCTGTACACCAAATTCCTGAGACACTCAATTTATCCATGTAACAAACCTGCTCTTATATCCCCCGAACCTAAAATAAAATTTGGAAAGAAAAAAGAAAAGGTTTGTGTACAAAGAAAATTAAGTAAACCCAAAATAAGGTAATTATTAATTCCAGGGAAGCAGAAAATTGAACCAGATAGCAAACTTAAACTACCTACGATACTTACTGAGCAGTGAGTAATGTTTATGTAATAACGACAAAATGAGTGAATGTAAATTTAGTCCAAAATTATAATAAATCTACATTTAAAAGATGATTGAAGATAACTGAATATGTCCATAGGGACAGGGTGTGATAGGAGGAATGTTGAAGGAGAGTTAAATTTTCCTCTTACCTGGTAGTAAATCAATACCTAACATCTGAATTTGAAAAATCAACAAGTAGTGAAAAAGTACATTAGTTAAAAACATGATATTAAATTAATTAAATATCAGAATAAACTATTTAATAAGCTAAACAGGCTATCATTGGGTAGCAGGATTGGGAGGACAATGGGAGGGAAAACAAGACAGGCAGAGAAACACTATTTTTGCTAATAATCCTTGTTGCTTTAATGTAACCTTTAAACCATGCACATGTATTTTGCTGAAAATTTAAGTAAATACCAAAATATATGACTGGAAAATCAAAAGAAATGTAAAATATTGAGTATATAAAAAGACGCATATCTTCAATAAATATGCACTCAAATTTAAACTAGAATTTTTTTACCTGTTAAAATAGCAATAATTTACAAGGTTTATAGTGTCACAAGTTAGTAAAAATGTAGAAAAATAATCACTGTCACAAGATGCTGGCAGAAATATATTAATTAGCCCACTTCTTTTGAAGGGAAACTGGAAATTCATATCCAAACCTAAAACATGACTCTGTTCTGGCAAATCTACTTCTATATTTTTTTTCTAAAGGAATTAAAAGAAAACTTTTTTTTAAAACAGTGTGTATGAGGGGACATTTATTAAAGTATTGCTTATAATGTTAAAATATGAGAAACAAGCTAATATTCATACTATAGAGCATTTAAAAAAACTAGTGGATCATTTGTAAAGTAAAACTGCACAGATAAGGTGGTCATACTGATTCATATTTATTGTCATGGAAAGCATGACAATATGTGTGTTGGCAATATACTAAATTATAAGAAAAATGCAGTAATAATCAGGCAATACTTCAATATTTAAACTCACTGCAATTCATTTCAGTTTCTGGAAGGCAGCATCCCCTTCCATTATATGTTATTTTAAAAGTGTTCTCTAACTATTCTGTTTATTCTAGCAGATTAATTTTGGAATCATTTTTGTCATGGTGACTAGCTGTAATGTGTGATTCCTTTTATCCCAAAACTAGCTATCCATCAATTCACATGTCCATACATACATCAATTTATCCTTCACCTATGCTAACACAAATACATCCATCTTTCTATCAACCAATCTATCCATTTACTAAAGAGACAAAGAAGAGATTGTTATTTTCTAACTTGTACATTGTCTTATTTTACAATAAAAATTTTATTTTTGTAATCTCAAGAAAAAAACCATTTCTATAAACAAAACAAAATACAATAGATATTTTAAAAATATTTTTCATAGACCAGTGACTCATGCATCTTTGTTCCATTGCCCATTTGCAATGAGCAGAGAAAGCCCGAAGATAGCAGAAGAGGTCAGATAACTAAGAAACTGAGCAAAAATGTGGATGGGGGAAGTTTGAGCCTAGACACAGTCACTGGCTTTGAACAGGAAGTGAGGTCTGTGAGAGAGAAGGATGAGAGTAAGTGAACACTAGTTAAAAGTGTGGGGTGCAAAGTGGGAGAGGAAGAGGAAGCTGGAACAAGTGCTGGCAGGTAAGCCAAATGAGCAACTTTGCAAATGTTTTGTTATTCCTAGTAGACACATGTTTTAAAATTTTTCTTTCTTAATATAAAGAACATTCATGCTCCTTGTAGATACTTTGGGAAATAAAAGAAAGTATAAAGAAGAAAATTGAAATTACCCATAACCACTGCTAAAATTGTCATATAAAAATATATATAAATAGATATTTACACATTTTTTAAATAAGACATTTCCCCTTTATATCCCACCTCTGTCTCAATATTATAACCTGAACATTTTCCTATGTCTTTAATATTTATTCAAATCATAATTTAATGTTCATAAACAATTGCATTATATTTAACTGTTTAACCATCCCCTTGTCAGATATTTAGATTATCTTTTATTCTATTATAAATATTTTTAGGATTATCCTTATACAATACTCTTTGCGCAGCTGATCATCTCTTTGGAATTAATTTGTACAAGTGGTATTACTGGGTTAAAGGGCATAAACTCTTTTAGGCATTGTAATATATCTAGCCTAATTGTTTTTATTTTTTATTTAGTTATTTTTGAGACGGAGTCTCGCTTTGTCACCCAGGCTAGAGTGCAGTGGCGCAATCTCAGCTCACTGCAACCTCTGCCTCTCAGGTTCAAGCAATTCTCTGCCTCATACTCCCGAGTAGCTGAGATTACAGACGTCCACCACCACGCCTGGCTAATTTTTGTATTTTTAGTAGAGACGGGGTTTCACGATGTTGGCCAGGCTGGTCTCAAACTCCTCACCTCAGGTGATCCATCTGCTTTGGCCTCCCAAATTGCTGGGATTACAGGCGTGAACCACCTCACCCAGCCACCTAATTGGTTTTTAAGAAATTTATAGTTTGGCTGGGTGCCGTGACTCACGCCTGCAATCCTAGCACTTTGGGAGACCGAGGTGGGTGGATCACCTGAGGTCAGGAGTTCGAGACCAGCCTGGTCAACCTGGTGAAACCCCATCTCTACTAAAAATACAAAAATTAGCCAGGCGTGGTGGCGGGCACATGTAATCCTAGCTACTCGGGAGGCTGAGGCAGGAGAATCACTTGAACCCAGGAGGTGGAGGTTGCAATGAGCTGAGATCGCGCCATTGCACTCAAGCCTGGGTGACACAGTGAGACACCATCTCAAAAAAAAAAAAGAAATTTATACCTGTTAACATTCCAAACAGCATCATAGTTATACTCCAAAGAGTGCCATCTGATAACTTTAACATAGTTTTTTAAATTTGATAACTTAAAATTAATTATTCATTTTGGCTTTCTCTGATTGCCAGTGAGGATAAATTTGTTTTGTTGGTCATCCGTATTTCTTCAACTGTGAATTATTTCCATGCCCTTTATTCAATGTTTATTTTTCTATTGATGGTACTATAATTGATTTATAAGTGTTCTTTAAAAATAATTTTGAATACCACTTACTCCTACAAAAATGGCCATTGTTAAAAAGTCAAAAAACAGTAGACATTGCCATGGATGTGGGGAAAAGGGAAGGCGTATACACAGCTGGTGGGAATGTAAACTAGTAGAACCTCTATGGAAAACAGTATGGAGATTCCTTAAAGAGCTAACAGTAGACCTACCATTCAATCCAGCAATCCCACTGAGTATATATCAAAGGGAAAATAAATCATTACATGAAAAAGACACTTGAAGATGTATGTTTATGGCAGCACAATTCACAGTTGCAAAGATAGGGAACCAATGTAAGTGCCCATCAACAAAGTGGATAAAGAAAATGTGGTACATATATACACCATGGAATAGTAATCTACCATTGAAAGTAATAAAATAATGACTTTTGCAGCAAATTGGATGGAGCTGGAGGCCATTATTCTAAGTGAAGTAACACGGGAGTGAAAAACCAAAAAATGTATGTTCTTACTTATAAGTGGAAGCTAAGCTATGAGTCCACAAAGGCATGTAGAGTTATACAATGGACTTTAAAGACTTAGGAGTGGGAAGGTGGGATGGGGCCTAGAGACAAAAAACTACACGTTGGGTACAGTGTACACCCCTTGGGTGACAGGTCCACTGAAATCTCAGAGTTCACCACAGTATAATTCATCCATGTAACAAAAAAACACTTGTACCCCAAAAGCTATTGAAATAAAAATTAATACAAAATATTAAATTAAAATAAAAAGATGTAAGACAAAAAAATTAAAAAATAAAAATAATTTTGAGATAATTTTAGGTTCACATCAGTTGTAATAAATAATACAGAGAGATATACTCTTCACCCAGTTTTCCCCAATGTCAACATCTTGCATTCTTGCATAACAATAGTATATAACAAACAGAAAAATGATATTGATACAATATATGGGTCTTATTCAAATTTCATGCCCTGGTGTGTGTGTGTGTGTGTGTGTGTGGTTACATGCAATGTAATCATATATGTAGGTTTGTGTATCTATCACCACAGTCAAAATGCAGAACAGTTCCATCACAAGGATCCTCATGTTACCATTTCATACTCATCATTACCTCCCTCCATATGCCCCTCTCTAGTCCCTGGTAGTCATTAATCTGCCCTCCATTTCAATAATTTCATTAACTCGTGAATGTTATATAAACAGGATCTTTCAGTATGTGGCCTTTCAAGCTTGGCTTTCTGAAGTCAGGACCATTCCCTTGAGAGTCTTCCAATTTGTTTCATGTATTAGTGATTTATTATTTTTATTGCTGAGTAGTATTCCATGGTATGGATGCATCATTATGTTTATTCACCTGTTGAAGAAAATTTGGATTTTTTCCAGTTTAGGACTATTACAAACAAAGGTCATGTAAACATTTGTTTATAAATTTTAGTGTGAATGTAAGTTTTGATTTCCCTGGGACAAATATCCAAGAGTACAATTATGGGATATTATGGTAGAGTAGCATATCTATTTTTTTTAAGAAACTATCAAACTGATTTCCAGAGTGACTATACCGTTTTACATTCTCACCAGGCCTATATGAATCACATAGTTGCTCTATATCCTCACTGGAATTTAGTGTTGTCACTATTATTTTGTCCATTCTGATAGGCATGTGTTAACATCTCATTGTGGCTTTAGCTTGTCTTTCTTTAACAGTTAATCATGCTGAACATATTTTCATGTTTTTATTTGCCATCCATATACCCTCTTCAGTGAAATGTCTTTAATGTCTTTTGTCCAGTTGAAATTGGATCTTTTTACTGTTGTTTTGAAAGTTTGTTATATATTATACATACAAATCCTTTTCCAGAAATGGGGACTGCAAATATTACTTCTGGTCTAGTTTGCAGCTTGTGTTTTCATGCTCTTCACAGGATCCATTGCAAAGAAAGAGTTCTTAATTTTTATGGTCTAATTTATCAAATTTTATTTATGGATCATGCTTTTGGTACCAAGTCTAAAAACTTAACTGTAGGTCTTTAAAAATGTATCCTATGTTTTTTTTTCCTAGAAGTTTGGTGATTTTACGTTTCTGTTTAAGTCTATGATCCACTTTAATTTTTGTATAATGTGAGGCATAGATCAAGCTTCATTTTTTTTCTTTTGCCTCTGAATGTCCACTTTTTTCCAATACTATTTGTTAAAAAGGCCGTCCTTCTTGAATTGCTTTGAAACCTTTGTGAAAAATTGGTTGCACATAGCCAGGCATGGTGGTGTGCACCTGTTGTAATCCCAACTACTCAGGAGGCTGAGGAACAAGAACCCCTTGAACCTGGGAGGTGGAGGTTGCAGTGAGCAGAGAGTGCGCCACTGCACTCCAGCCTGGGCAACAGAGCAAGACTCCATCTCAAAAAATATATAAATAGATAAATTGCACATATTTTTGTGTATCTATTTTGGGGTTCTGTTTCATTGATCTACGTCTATCTCTCCACCAACTTTTTTCTTTTGAGACAGTCTCTCATCCTGTTGCCCAGGCTGGAGTGCCGTGGCATGATCTTAGCTGAGTGAAACCTCCACCTACCAGGCTCAGGTGATCCTCCTGCCTCACCCTCCTACCTCACCCTCCCGAGTAGCTGGAACTGCATGTGGGTGCCACCACGCCTAGCTAATTTTTGTATTTTTTTTTTTTAGTAGATATGGGGTTTCACGCTGGTCTGGAACTCCTGACACTAAGTCCACCCACCTTGGCCTCCCAAAGTGCTGGGATAACAGGCATAAGCCACCGCATCGAGTCCAATATCACATTTACTTTATTTCTGTAGCTATATTGTAGCATTAACATAGGGTAGAGTAATTCTTCCTACTTTCTACCTTTCAAAATATTTTAGCTATATTATATTCTGTATTTTTTCAAATAAATTGTAGTACAAGCTGGTGTCTACCTACAAAAAAAAAACTTTTCTGAGATTTTGGTAGGTATTGTATTAAAACTATAAATCAATTTGGGGAGAACGAACATGTTTCCTGTATTGAGTCTTCCAATTCATGAACATGGAATATTTCTTCCTGTATTTAGGTCTTCTTTGAGCTGTTTTATTAGCATTGTGTAATTTTTGTGATACATATGTTGCACATGTTCTGATAGATTTATGCCTCAGTATTAAATTTTCTTTCGTAATTGTAAAGTAATTTTACTTTTGGTTTATTCCTATTTGTTATAAGTATGTAGTTCAGAAATTAGCAAGTATGCATTGACCTTGTATTCTGCAACCTTGTGCATCCTTGCAGAGCTGACTAGTGCTAGGAACTTTTTTTTTTTTTTGGTAGTTTTGAGATTTTCTACGTAGGCAATCATGTGATCATGTAACCTGCAAATAGGGTTGACTTTATTTCTTCCTTTCTAACTTGCATGTCTTTACTTTCTTGTCTTATTGCAGTGACCAGAACTTCTAGTATTATGTTTAATAAGGAAGATGAGACTAGATAAGTTTGCCTTGTTCCTGAAGGGAACATATCTTTGGGGAAAACTATTCAGTCTTTCACAATTAAGTGTAATAGTAACTGTAGCTGTTTCATAAATGCTCTTGATCAAACAGGAAATTCTCTCTATTCCTAGTTTCCTGAGATTTATCAAGGAGGGTTGTTGGATTTTGCCAAATGCTTTTTCTGCATCAGTTGATACAATCATATACTTTTTCTTCTTTAACCAATTGATATAGTGGATTACAATAAAAGATAGTTAGTGTTCAACCAGCCTTGCATACCTGGAGTAAATCCCACTTGGCCACGGTACATATTAATTTTTACACATTCTTAGGTTAGATTATCTAACATTGATTTGAAAATTTTGTACTTAAAGTCATGAGAGATATTGTGTATAGCTTGCTTTTTTTCTGCATTGCCTTTGTCTGGTTTTGGTATCAGGGTAATACTAGCCTTATACAATGTGTTTAGAAGTGTTCCCTCTTTTATTTTCTGGAAGACAGTATGTACAATTGGTTATTAATTTTCCTGAAAAATATTTAGTAGTATTTCTCTATGGTCTTGAAGATTTTTGCCAATTAATAATTCAATTTTTAAACATAATTATATAACTATTTAGGTTATCTATTTCACTTTGAGTTTTTGACATTTGTATTTTCACGGAATCGATCCATGTCTTCAAAGTTGTGAAATTTATGAATGTAAAGTTTTTCGTAGCATTCCTTTATTATCTTTTAATGGCTGAATGATTTGTAGTGATATACCCTGTTTCTTTTCTGATATTGGTGATTTGTTGCTCCATTAAAAAAATTAATTCATTCTACTAGAGGGTTATCAATTTTACTGATTTAAGAACCAATTTTTTGTTCCACTGATTTTTCTGTATTCCATTTCTTGTTTTCAATTTCATTTTCTTTTTCTCTTATCTTCATCATTTCCTTCCATCTACTTGGTTCAGTTTATTTTGCTCCCTTTTCTTTGCATAAATTTAAGGAATACAAGTGCAGTTTTGTTACACTGATATATTGCACAGTGATGAAGTCTGAGCTTTTAAGGTAACTATTACCTGAATAATGTACATTGTACCCATTAAGTAATTTCTCATTCCTCATTCCTCTCCTACTCTCCCACCTCTCCAAGTCTCCAATGCCTATTAATCCACAGTCTGTGTCCATGTGCACCCCTACTTATAACTGAGAACATGCAGTATGTGGCTCTGAGTTGTTTCACATAAGATAATGGCCTCCAGTTCCATCCATGTTGCTGCAAAATACATGATTTCATTCTTTTTTATTGATGAATACTATTCCATTGTGTCGATATGTACCACATTTTCTTTATCCAATCATCTGTTGATGAACCCTTAGGTTGATTCCATATCTTTGCTATTGTGAAGAGTATTGTAGTAAACATAGGAGTACAGATATTTTTGTGATACAATGATATCTTTTCCTTTGGGTAGATACCCAGTAACAGGATTCCTGGCTTGAATAGCAGTTCTAGTTTTAGTTCTTTGAGAAATCTCCATGCTTTCTTCCATAGAGGTTGCACTAATTTGCATTCCCAACAACAGCGTATAAGCATTCCTTTTTCTCCACATCCTCACCTACATCTGCTGTTTTTTGACCTTTTAATAATAGCCATTCTAACTGGTGTAAGATGATATTATATTGTGATTTTAATTTGCATTTATCTGATTAGTGATATTGAGCATATTTTCATATGCTTTCCTATGATTAGTGATGTTGAGCATTTTTTCATATGCTTGGCCATTTGTATGTCTTCTTTTGAAAAGTATCCTTTGCCCACTTTTTAAGTGAATTATTTTTGCTGTTGTTGTTGTTGAGTTGTTCAGTTTCTTCATAATTTCTGGATGTTAGCCCCATTTTGGATGCATAGTTTGCAAATATTTTATTCCATTCCGAAGGCTGCCTGTTCACTCTGTTCTTTTGCTAGTCAGAAGCTTTTTAGTTTAATTCCAGTTTTTTTTCAGGTAGAAATTTAGAATTTTTTGAGACATTTTTCCTTGGCTAAATGTAGTAAGTCTTTAGTGCTATAACATTCCCTACTAGCATTGCTTTAGCTGCATCATGCATGTTTTGGTGTGTTGTACTTTCAGCTTTATTGAGTTTCATATCTATTTTGCTTCATTTGAGACATCCTGTTTGACCTAAAGATCATCTATATGGGTTTTGTTTAATTTCCAAGTTCTTGAAGAGTTTCCTTTTGCTTTCTGTTATTGATTTGTAGTTTGATTCCATTATGGTCAGAGTATATGCCATGTATGATTTCACCTTTTTATATTTTTTGAGATTTGTTTTATGGCCAAGGATATAATCTGTCTTAATGAATATTCCATGAGTGCTTGCATAAAAACTATGTTATTTTGTATTCCATATATCCTAATTAGATCCTGGTGTCTTTTTCTTTTCTACATCTTTGCTGTTTTATGTCTGTTAGTACCATCAATTGCTGAGAATGGGATGTTGAAGTCCCCATCTATAATTGTGGATTTATCCATTTTAGCTCTGTCAGTGTTTACTTCATATATTTTGAGGCTCTGTTATTTGATGTGCACATATTTAGGATTATTGCACCTTTCTGAAGAAGTGATCCTTTTATTAATCTGTAATGATATTCTCTATCTCCGATAATTTCCTTTGCTCCAAAATCTACACTATCTAATATTACTACAATAGCTTCTGCTTTTTTAAAGAAAACATGTTTATATATCTTTTTTTATTCTCTTACCTTGAACATACCCATGTCACTGCATTGAAGTGAGGTTCATTTTAGATACATAGTTGGGTCATAGTTTTAAATCTGCACTGACAATGTCTTTAACTTGTGTATTTAGACTATTTGCATTTAAGGTAACTATTGATATTATAGGGCTTAAGTCTGCCATTTTGTTATTATTTTCTGATTCACCTCTAACCAATGATAGACATGGAGACAGTCTACAAATGGTATTAAATAAAAGATAGAATGAACGAACCTTCTACATTCTGACATAAAACAAATAATGAAAAGTAAATTTATACATGGTTGGTGATAAACAAAAAGAGTTGCCCTTAAAATCTAAACAAAGACTCTTTTCACATATGGACTTCAGTTAGAAGCAGTATTACAGAAATAATGCAAGTTCTGAAATCAGACAACTATGGGTTCAAGTTTCGTCTTCAGTATTCACTAGCTGTGCATACTTGGGCACAAAAGTAATTCTCTGAATGTTAATTTTCTCATTTTTAAAGGAGATAATAATGTTTTCTCACACTGAATAAGATAATGATGCTAGGAGACTTCATTCTGTTAATTATTTCTTTGCTGTTCAGAATCTCCTTCATTTGATGTAATCTCATTTGTTCATTTTTGCTGTGTTTTTAAGATTTTATCCAAAATATCCTTGGCCGTATTGATACTGTGAAGCATTTCTCCTATGCTTTCATTTAGTACTTCCACAGTGTAAGGGCTTACATTTGTCTTCAGTTCAATTTGAGTTGATTTTTGTATATGGTGAGAAATAGGAATCTAGTTTCATTCTTCTGCATATGGATATCTAATTTTCCTAGCACCTGTTGATTGTCTTTAATAATGGGTTACACTTTGTTCTTTTTTCATATGCTAATTTTCGGTTATATTTTGGACATTGGAAACGTTATAATGTAGACTCTGGATTCTTTTATATTTCTCCGAAGAGTATTGAGTTCTTTAAGCAGGCAATTAACTTGGCCTCAGACAGTAAACTTTGTTTCTTGGGCAGTACCTCAAACATCAGATCAGTTATTTAGGCTTAGCTAGGCTGATTGTCGTCTGCTTTGTGCATGCATGGTTCTAGGGTCAACCAGAGATTTATATAGAGTTACGCAGAGAATTTATGGCTCCCCTTTCTAGTTCTCATTTTTTTCCAGTACTCCTCTCCCCTCTCACTCTCCAGCAACTATAATTATCCTGAGCTCCACATAGTAGATAGTAGTTCTTTAGAGATCAATTGCAGCTTTTATATTGGAATTTAAGCTAACCTGAATGCAGACTACAGCTTCTTTTCTAGCTAACACACACACACACTCAGGAGAAAACAAAATGTTATTTCCTTTTTCCAAATATGGACTTACCTTTAGAATGTCCCTGTGTTTGTTCCCTCTTTAGCCTTCAGTTAATTATTTTTATATTTTTATTTTGGAGTTTATAGTTGTTATTTGCAGAACAGTTAGTCTGATATGAGCTTACTTGGCCGTTAACAGAAGCAGAACTTCCAGGGCTATAGATAATAAGTTTTTATTTCTACATTTTTTCTTAATATGTGCTGATTCTCAAGCATATCTCAAGAAAGCTAAGTTTCTCAGAATGCCAATCCTTCTCTCTGAACATAGTTGGGGAATGTTTTGATAAAAGGTACTCCTAGTAACTAGGCCTATCTAGTTTGCTTTACACATACACAGATAATTGCCCCTGAGCTCATACTGAATAAGGTAACAATGACAGTAGGGGACTACAGTGCCCCAAACCAATTAAGTCTGAGGAAAGAAAGGGATTTTCTTCAAGTGGCTGGTGGTGACCATAAACAGAGGCCACATATCACAGCTAATTTAATACTGTCCCCACATTTTCTTAAATTTGAATAAGGATCAATGACTTAAAGGACTAATGTAATATCAGCCCTGGATGGCTTTTCTATTTGCACTACTTCATGCTTAGCAACAATCTCTCATCTATGATTCCCTGGCACAAAGAAATATGATACTTTGCAGCTAAAAAGTATTTGTTAACAGCACCATATTTCTTTTGATCTTGAAAGGATGTTAGAACTTACCTAGTTTAAGTCATCATTTTACTTATCAGAAACCCAGTCAAAAATGGGGAAGACCCACCTGAGATAACATAGGAAAAGGCAGAGCTGCAACTTGAATGCAGTTGAGCTGATTCCCATTCTTGCAATCTGACCCTCAGCTACACATTCAGTATTTCAGGGACACTGGGCTATACAGAGCATCCTTAACTTTTCTCAAGGTTAGGCTCTGAAGTGTTCTGTGTGGAAGAAAACAGCCTGCTTAGTGATATGAACACAATCTTCTGTATTCAGTAATATGACCAAGTGATCATTGCATTGAATGGCTGGCTGTTCTCCAAAATCTGGTGAGCAAACAAGGGCATGTTGCCCTTGTGAATTTACTCTCCTTACTCCCTGCCTACCCCCCTTACTGTTGCCATTACTATGGTACTGTGTTCTCACTCCATGTGTGTGCCATAGGATTCAGATACAAAAAGACCAGTCAAGGTGTAAGTCAAATAGCCAAAGGAACGGCCAGGCCAAACTTAGGTCCAGCTTGCCTTGTAAACTTCCTTCCCTGTGAAGTGTTTTGTCTTTCATATATAATAATTTCTATCATTCACTTGCTATCTGAAAAGACAAGAACATATTCTTACTCAATTATGCTACAGGAAATGGAACTGACCCATTCAATTTGAAGAGAAAGCTTCTTCATGTTTAGAAATCTCTCCTTAAGACTCAGCTGCCAGCTCAGGTAAATCTGGTGAGACTTCAAAGTCCTCAGTATGGGATAAGTCAGAGTAGATGCAGTTGCACATTTTAAGACTTTGGGAAAAAACAAAACCTGCCTGTCTTCAGTAGCCTGTAAGATCTCTCTTGTCTCTAGGCAGGAGAGATTCCTCAGGTGTTACCCACTTTATCATAGCATTCCACATCTCTCATTTTATCTTGTGCCCTTCTCTTCTTTCCAAGATCATAAATCAACAAAGACAGGTCTTCATTCTTCTTCGAAAGAAAGGGAGGGGTAAGTCTAGACTTCTATTCCCTGGCAAAGAGAACAACCTGATAAATTTAACTATCAGCTTCTCAGATGAAAACTGGAAAATTTCAAAGCCTTGAGTGGATAATCTATAGCCAGGAACCTTTGCACCCTTATTCCAAAGTCTTTTGGACATTCCTTTCCATTGCAACACCAGGAAGGAAGTCCATGTGGAAAATGGCAGATTGGTCCAGGAAACTTCAGATTCCAGATAGAGGTCAGAGTCAAATGCAGGAGTGTGTGACAGATGAAATTGTCCATGATTTTCTAATTGCTAAAGGCAGTGACCCGGTCATAAAGAGCAAAGGCCAAAGGGAAGCCTTGGTGCCCGTTGCTGGCATTAGATTTCTGTCTAGAGAAGGAGAAGACAGCTGAAAACTGAAGAACATTTGGAACTAATTATGGAGAATAAGAAAGCTTGAGCCTAAGGGGTGGGGGTGGGATGAAGGCTGTACTATTCCTTAAAATAAGTAATAGTTGGTCAACTTCACCACAGGCTCTACTTCCTTATCTTTCTTGTCCTCAACACAACTTACACATAGCTAATTAAAGTACAGTGCCATCTTTCAGCTTCCTGCAATATTAGGAATAACACAGCTTTAAAAAAAGAAAGGAATTAGCAGGTATTTTGATGTTTTTCAAGTATGGTATGGACCTACGTGTGAGAGATGCCAGGTTACCCTTTTTGGAGTAAGATAGACATGGTATTCAAATCTTCCTGCAATATTAGGAATAACACAGCTTTAAAACAGAAAGGAATTAGCAGGTATTTTGATGTTTTTCAAGTATGGTATGGACCTACGTGTGAGAGATGCCAGGTTACCCCTTTTGGAGTAAGATAGACATGGTATTCAAATCTTCACTCCACTGTTGACAAGCTGTGTGTTGCTGAGAAAGTTAACTCTGTCCACTGAGCTTCTGTCTCCTCATCTGTAAGATCAGCTAGTATCATTTCCTTCATATAGGTGACATGAGCATAATATGAGATAAAATATGAAAAGGTCTTCCACCCACCTTGCTCAGCACACAGCTGTGCTCATTAATTAGAAGCCCCTTTATGCCTTATACATGAGCATTACAAATACAATAAAGGCCATTTTTATCATTCCAGAAATTAATGCATCCCAAAAAAACGAACAAAAACTACAGTACTTAAAATGGTGTGGTGCTATTTCAAGAACAATGGTATAGGCTGAGAATCCTAAACATTGTTTTACTCACAGGCAGAAATAAATTCAAGTTGAATTAAAGACCCATATTTGGAGAAATAAAAGTAATTTTATGTGAAGATAATGAAACAAAATAATATAACCCTGGAGGCAAGAAGACTTTTTAAAAATCAGATATGTAGCAAAAATGAAAAGGAAAAAATGGAAATTTGATCATTCTAAATTTAAAACTACTCTATGGCAAGCAAAGATACCATAAACAAAGGTAAAACAAAACAAAACTAAATGAAATACAAGAAATAATCTGGGAGGAAATACTTACAGCTGTAAAATATTCAGACACAAAACAGACCAAAGTGAGCATCTGAAATTTTTAAATAATTCACATATATCTAAACTTATAAAAGTCAATGAAAATATAGTTTAAAATACATGAACAGGTAGGTAATCACAAAAGATAAAATCAGAATCACTCTATAAAAATGGTTCTGCCCCAGTAACAATCAGAAAATGTAAATTATAATAATGAACTACCATTCTGCTACCAGTTTGACAAGATAAAAAGTTTGATAATATCAAATGTAGACAAAAAGAGTAAAATTAAGTATAGTTACTCATGGTCTTTAAATTAGCACAATCTAACTGAAGGGCAAGATGGTAGTATCAGATTATTTATCCGAGGCTCCAGAAATTTCTTTCTACCTACCATTCTGGAGAAAAACTTGCATAGAGAAATGAAATACTTGAGGAAGTATTGTATTGTTTCCCATATGGAAAAAAAAACTAAAAACAATTTTAATATGTATTTATAGAGTAATGGGTGAATACAATTCTACAAACAGAATTACTATAAAGTATTCAAAGGAATAAAGTAGATTTGTACATATTAACAAGAATCAATCATAAACAAACAATAGCCAATAGTTAATATTTCTCCCAATATCTAGTATGTGTGAAAAACAAAGATTTTGAGAATTATTTCATCTGACAAATTTATCATGGAGGATACCCTTAATATTGGTGGGAAGATGTCAGTATGGGCACAGAGTTTTTGGGAGACTATGATTTAATCTGTAATGGGCTAAATGTTTTTAATTATAATTGCCTTATTGTTTGCATAAATTTAAAAATAAACATTGGTAGATATTGAAAAAAGATAATCAAATATGCCAAAAATCTTGAAAATGATTGATTTGGAGAGGGGAGTATGGGTGATTATTGCTTCTTCTTTGTATACTCTGTATAATTTTAAAATTTTTTGCAAAGAGAAAAAGTACAATGATAATCATAAAATAATGGTAAAATGATAATCATAAAATCATAAAAATGATAATCATAAAATCCCAGGCTATGACACTATTTACCAAGTTAAACTGGTTCTTAAGAAAAAGTATTTACCCAGACCTTTAAAATTATATTTGTGCAGACAGGGATGCCCTGTCTCACCACTCCTATTCAACATAGTGTTTGAAGTTCTGGCCAGGGCAATCAGGCAGGAGAAGAAAATAAAGGGTATTCAATTAGGAAAAGAGGAAGTCAAATTATCCCTGTTTGCAGATGACATGATTGTAAATCTAGAAAACCCCACTGTCTCAGTCCAAAATCTCCTTAAGCTGATAAGCAACTTCAGCAAAGTCTCAAGATACAAAATCAATGTACAAAAATCACAAGCATTCTTATACACCAACAACAGACAAACAGAGAGCCAAATCATGAGTGAACTCCCATTCACAATTGCTACAAAGAGAGTAAAATACTTAGGAATCCAACTTACAAGGGATGTGAATGACCTCTTCACGGAGTACTACAAACCACTGCTCAAGGAAATAAAAGAGGACACACAAATGGAAAAGCATCCCATGCTCATGGATAGGAAGAATCAATGTCATGAAAATGGCAATACTGCCCAGGGTAATTTATAGATTCAATGCCATTCCCATCAAGCTACCAATGTCTTTCTTCACAGAATTGGAAAAAACTACTTTAAAGTTCAAATGGAACGAAAAAAGAGCCCGCATTGCCAATGCAATCCTAAGCAAAAAGAACAAAGCTGGAGGCATTATGATGACTTCAAACTATAGTACAAGGCTACAGTAAGCAAAACAGTATGGTAGTGGTACCAAAACTGATATGTACACCAATGGATCAGAACAGAGGCCTCAGAAATAACACCACACATCTACAACCATCTGATCTTTGACAAACCTGACAAAAACAAGAAATGGGGAAAGGATTCCCTATTTAATAAATGGTGCTAGGGAAACTGGCTAGCCATATGTAGAAAGCTAAAATTGGATCCCTTCCTTATACAAAAATTAATTCAAAATGGATTAAAGACTTAAATGTTAAACCTAAAGCCATAAAAACCCTAGAAGAAAACCTAGGCCATACCATTCGGGACATAGGCATGGGCAAGGACTTCATGACTAAAACACCAAAAACAATGGCAACAAAAGCCAAAATAGACAAATAGGATCTAATTAAACTAAAGAGCTTCTGCACAGCAAAAGAAACTACCATCAGAGTGAACAGGCAACCTACAGAATGGGAGAAAATTTTTGCAATCTACCCACCTGACAAAGGGCTAATATCCAGAATCTACAAAGAACTTAAATTTACAAGAAAAAAATAAACCACCCCGTCAAAAAGTGGGCAAATGATATGCACAGACACTTCTCAAAAGAAGACATTTATGCAGCCAAAAGACACATGAAAAAATGCTCATCATCACTGGCCATCAGAGAAATGCAAATCAAAACCACAACGAGATACCATCTCACACCAGTTAGAATGGCGATCATTAAAAAGTCAGGAAACAACAGATACTGGAGAGGATGTGGAGAAATAGGAACACTTTTCTACTGTTGGTGGGAGTGTAAATTAGTTCAACCATTGTGGAAGACAGTGTGGTGATTCCTCAAGGATCTAGAACTAGAAATGCCATTTGACCCAGTGATCCCATTACTGGGTATATACCCAAAGGATTATAAATCATGCTACTATAAAGACGCATGGATACATACATTTATTGTGGCACTATTCACAATAGCAAAGACTTGGAACCAACCCAAATGTCCATCAGTGATAGACTGGATTAAGAAAACGTGGCACATATACACCATGGGATACTATGCAGCCATAAAAAATGATGAGTTCATGTCCTTTGGAGGGACATGGATGAAACTGGAAACCATCATTCTCAGCAAACTATCACAAGGACAGAAAACCAAACACTGCATGTTCTCACTCATAAGTGGGAAATGAACAGTGAGAACACTTGGACACAGGGCAGGGAACATCACACACCAGGGTCTGTTGTGGGGTTGGGGGTTGGGGGAGGGACAGCATTAGGAGAAATACCTAATGTAAATGGCGAGTTGATGGGTGTGGCAAACCAACATGGCACATGTATACCTATGTAACAAATCTGCTCGTTCTGCATATGTACCTTAGACCTTAAAGTAAAAAAAAAAAATTATATTGTGCATGCCTACTTTGCATTGTATGTTATATTCCAAGTCAGTGCATTATCATTTACAGAATATTACTGTGTTGTAAGCACAATCTTATTTAACTCTTGTATTAACCCTGTGATGTAGGTATTATTATATCCATTTATAAATAAGGAGAAACAGGTTCCACAAAGCTGGACTATTTGTCCAAGTTCACACAGCTGCAAAGTAACAGAGCTGGTAGTTCAACATATATCTTCAGGCATCAAAGTTAGCGTTTCCCCTAAAAAGTTAGTTACAGTTTATTAAAAAACAAAATTAAACTAAACTAGAAACCATACTAGAGCCATCTCAATACAAGTATTTTATTTTGTATAAACTATAAAGCTGCTTCACTGCTAAATGAAACTGAAATCTAAGGAGGAGATCAATCAAATCAGTTTAAAGAATATATAGACATTTTATGGACTTATATGCATCTAAATATAGGAGTTATACCAACTTATTTAGGAGAATATTAGTGCCCCCAAATAAGGCTAGTGCATAGAAAAGCCTTTTGCACAGAAGAGGAATCCTTTGTTCTAACCATACATTCTTAAATTGTGTGATGAAGGTGTATGGAGTTCTACAGGTCCAATTGTGTTGGCTAGAACTGTATTAGCAGGGTACTCAATTCAACGTAGCCTGAGACAGTGATAATCTATTACTTTACCTAACTAGTTTCAGGCACAACTACAGCTCAGGGTTCAAAAGATGTTATCCGATCTCTCTCTTTTCTTTCATCTGTGGAATCTTCATTTTTAAGTATGCTCGAGGTGAGTGGCAATATGTATAATGTTCAAGTTCTCCACGTTTCCATGGATATACTTTCTTGCAATTTCAAGGAGAAAAGCAGCCCTTTTTCTCTCAATGTGAGTTGTTCAGAAATAAGTTAGCCGTGCCACAGAACTCTCTGTAGCTAGTAGGATTGGTCAGTCCTAGGTCTTTATTACCATCCCTTTAGCCCCAGGAGGGATGAATTCAGTCGCACTCAAATCAAAGGGATTAAACTGGATTATTGAGAATGAGTGAAAAGAGGTTAACCAAAACGATTCTGAAAGGGAAAAACAAAATAAAACAAAACAAAACGAAAACCAAAAACAAATAAACAAAAAAACATGTGTCCACAAAACACTCACAGCTTTGACAATATTAGGTGTGTGACCACTGGAAAGCCAGTAGGCTAACGTGTGGGAGAGGGACAGCATTCACAACAGCTACTTCACAGGATTCTCTTGGGGCTTAAATAATCACTGGAGAGAAAATGAACCTAAGACGGCATCTGGCAGATAGAAAGCATCTTATAAAGTTTGGTTTCTAATTGAGTAATCAAAGGTGGAATGGTTCTGAGCTAATCATATCACCTTATCTCAGAGACTTTACCAATTAATTACCAAGTCAGACTCAACGACATGGCAATTCTATTGAATGTGGAAAATTGTGAGCCTGTCTCACAATCATTGTCCTTTTTAAGTCTACTGAAAGCCAGGACTTTTCAGTAGAGGCTGTATGATGTGGCAGTAGTAACAACCACAATAACAAAAACTGTATTAACTAACACTTATTGCGTGCTGACCATGTACCAATAGTCTGGTAGGTAAGTAACATAGATTTTCTCATGTAATCTTCACCATAAGGAATAAAGTAGATATTATCATTTCCATTTTACAGATGAAGAAACAAATGTAGCAAGGTCAAGTAATTTACCCAAGGTCAAGTAGTTGACAAGGTTCGGACTGCCATTCAAGTGTGCTTCACTCCAGAGCCTGAGTTCTTAACCATGTGTTGTTCTTTTCCATACTGCCCTGCATGGCCCCATAATACCCTGAGGAGAAGACGCAACATGAAATAGCATTTGGCTGCATTCCAATCAGTCAACATATTCATCACTAGATACACAAAGAAAGCAGGTAGGTTGGATTCCCTATGCTGAACAAAACAATACAGGCAAATACATGCACTGACTTCTAACTTGATTTGGAGATTTAGCAACTCCATCGTGAAGACTTCCCTAACATCTCAGCTGCTGTATTTAATGGGACTTTTTGTTGATAACGTCAAGATGGATTGAAGAGAATTTATCTTTCTGATTTTCATTTTGAAAAAAATTGTTTAACCATCATGATTCTGCAGATATTTCTTATGGGAAAAACTATGGAGCTGTACACTGATTCTGAGAAGTGTTGAGATGCTGGGCACAGATGGCTTTAATTATTTGGGCAGCCACTGACAGATGTGATGGTCTAGGTTTCTGCTGCCTTGGACAGGTGTAAGCTATAGGATTTACCCAGAGGGAGTTGTGGAGAGCCAGAATTGGATAGAGCCCTGTGATGGCCCCTTATTTTGTCTTAATCCACCCCTAGGTACATGGTTATCATATTTCTTTGCCTCAAGGCATGGTCAAGTCAGTCAAACCTATCAAACCAAGTTTGTGTGCAAAAAAGAAAATCTCAAAGAGAGGAACATGCTGTTAGCAATTGGTCTCAAACTCTGCTCAGTTTTTTTACTCAGAAGCCTTTCTTCCCATTAAACTATGGCCTCATAATCAAAAGGATGTATGTTTATGTTCCTCTTTCTGGATCAAAATAAGCATGTTAACTTCTCCAATTGTAATCCACACAAATAATTTCAAAGAATTGAATGTCAGCCTGTAAAAACCTTCATTATTTTGTTCAACAAAGATTTGTTAAGCAAGCAATGGAGGGTAGGCAGACACACTTTCTGCTCTTAAGGAGCTACTGAATATTGGACCTCACAGCTGATAAGAATAGGAAAATCAGCACTTATTGTTGTCAAAGCTATGTTCTAGGCTCTGGGAATGCAGTGGTGATCAAAGTAGTACTTTTCTCCATGGAGCTTTCATTCTAGCTGGGGAAATGGACAAAAAAAACCCATCTCTTTCTCTATCCATATATGTTTATATGTGTACATATATATACATACATTTGTGTATATTTATATATGTATCTATATTAGATGGAGTAAATGTAATATACTAATTGCTATAACAGATTATATCTAAGGAATTGCATCTAGCTATGTATGTGAGTTCAACAGAAACTGTGCAGAGGAAATAGTTTCGTGAGCTGGGCTAAATGAACGTAAGAGAGAGGTCACCAAGTGGAAAGATAGAGGAACACATTCCAGGCTCTGCAACTCTTTGTTTCAAACAGCAGAGTTATGACTTGTTACTCACAAAAAGCTGAATTATGTCTCTTCCAAAATTCATATGTTGAAGCCCTAACTCCCAGTCCCACAGAATGCAACTACATTTGGAGATAAGGTCCTTAAAGAGGTAATTAACTTAAAATCAGGCCATTAGGGTGAGCCTTACTCCAATTTCACTGGTGTCCTTATAAGAGGAGGAAGAAACCAGGGATATCCTTGCACAGGGAAAAAGCCATGTAGGGACACAGAGAAAAGGTGCTATCTGTAAGTCAAGGACAGAGGCCTCACCAGAAACCCACACTGCCAACACCCTGACCTTGGACTTCCAGCCTCCAGAACTGTGAGAAAGTAAATTTCTATTGTTTAAGCCACCTGGTCTGTGGTATTTTGTTACGGTTGCCTTAGAAAACTAATACAATGTCTCATATGCAAATTGAAAGGAGAACAGTCTATACCTATTGCACAGAAAACTTTCAAATAAATATTTACTGAATTAAAATAAATTTGAGTTGCACAGCTGACCATATTGAGCACTTAAGACACATCATACGCAATTATCTAATAGAATCCACAGTCCCATGATGTAGATATTATTTCTATGTTATTTATGAGGAAACTGAGAGTTGGTGAAGTTAACTGGGTTGCACAGTGCCACATAGCTTGCAAATGAGCATGTATTTGAACCCAGACAGTCGGATCTGACAGCACATACTCTTAGTTCCAGCAATCTGGGGAGTGTAGAAGATCGTATGGAATGAGAGGAAAGGCCAATTCACGAAGGACCTTGGATTATAGCTATGGAGGCAGAATTATCAAGGAGTCAAAACCTAAGTCAGTAATTAGAAAACCTGTTATGAAATTACCTTATTTATTCAGACTGGCTTTAAAGTTATTCACAATCCATGCACATAACTCACCCCACCACCCCCATACCTCACATAGATACAGCCCTCCCAACCACTAATCTCCACCCTTGTGTAACACACATACACACAGACACACACACACACTGACTCAAATACTCTCCCCAAACTCCTCAGACAATACAACTTTTTAAGAAGTCCTTTGAAGAATGCCTTAAAGGATTTGAATCAATAATCTCCTCAGATCCTAAACGGGAGCTCCCCAGTTTGCTTTTTAATGATATCTCCCAACTCGGCAATCACAACTGCTTCTTACTGTTCACTCCTAGCTAGACTGGTCTATTCTTCGCCCAGCCCGTAGAGTATGTGTGTTTTTTAAATAAAGAAACAGACATGGAATTAAGTCTCCGTGTCCCATGTGCTTCATTATCCTGGCTTGTTGGGAATGTGTTAAACATACAGTGTGAGTTTTCATAAGTAGCAGAAAAGGATCAAAGGAACTTACTTTACCAAAGGTTTTTCTTTTCTCTCTCTCTCTCTTCCTTAAGCTGAGGTTCGGGTGATTCAAATCACACTAGGTAGTTGAGCTGATAAGATATGGGAGGAGAGATCTCCAGCAGTAGTTTTTATTTCAAGAAAAGAAAACTTTTTAAGTCATAAAATGTTCTCAGGTGTCTTTGATTTTTTTTCAGTTGAATTGCAAACCTGGAATTAGAAGACGTTTTGAAAAAATATGCTTGATGTCAACCCTAGGTAGTTATATAAATAGAGGGAATTGAATGAAGTTACATAGCCCAAAGATTACACCTTGCTATGCTGCTGAGATTTTACATACCAAAAACTTTAAAACTTTAAATGGACTACTTAAAATTACTTTCTCTACTGCATATATCCCCCTTAATAATAAAGTTTCTGTATGCTCTTCTGTAAAACTTTGAAGTGCTTGTTCCTAGAAGACTATGCAGGAGTGCTTGGATTGGGAGAATTTGAATACATCACCCTGAGATGAGATGTAATGTGAAGTTCAGGGGGAAACAAACTTGCTCATTTGATCGTATTTTTGCGACACATAGGGTTTCTTAACTTTCGGATTTCCCTAGACTAATTGAGTTTCCAAAGACAAGACTAGAATCTAGACGATCTCAAACTAGTCTAGAGTACAAGTTTGTAATGATGAGTCCCTGGGCTCTGGCTTATGTACAGGATTTAGACATTTTTCTAGGTAATACTGTATTTTAAAACATTGCTTTTCAAAATCTAGTTTTGTTAAATAAAAATCTATTACTTCTCTCCTTTAATTTTGCAGCTACTATTGTAGTATCATTTTTGCCAAAAATGGTTCTGAATATTTGCAGATTCATATATCTTTGATGTGTATCAGCAGATACTTTTTTATTTGTGTGACATCAGTGAAATGGTTAAAATTTCAAATGAAAGCTCAATAAAATATATTTGAGTGTGAAATAGGTCATGGCTAATCATGACCCTGAACAGATTTTTGTTGAGTTTTCAATTATTATTTTATGCATACTTTAGTAAGTTATAATCAGACTGCCCACAATTTTTGTATCTTGCTTTCGTCAAAGTGATTAAAGATTTTTTTACGTTACAATCATAGCAAAATATTTCACTTTCTAAATCTTCATTAAGGTGTGATTTAGACACAATAAGACTCACCCATTTTAACTGTACAGTTTAAAGATTTTTTGACAAATGTATACATTCATATCAATACCATCAAAGAGATGGGATGTTTCTATCAACCTCAAAAATTACCTTGTGCCTCTTCACAGTAAATCCTTTTTCCCAACCCTAATTAATACTGGGGCTAATTCTTTCTGTAAGTATACATTAGTTTTTGCCTTTTCTAGAATTTTATGTGAATGGAACCATGCAATATGGATGTGTCTGGCTTTTGTGTCTGGCTTGTTTCATCAGCATATTAGTTTTAAGATATATCTTTACTGTTGTATCAGAATTATACATCTATTTGTTTATTCATTCACCTGTTGATAAACAGTTGGGTTGTTTCCAGTATGTGGTTATCATTAATAAAGCTGCTATGGACATTTTTGTACAAGTCTTTTTGTAGACATATGTTTCCATTTTTCTTGGGTAAATACCTAGGAGTGGAATTGTTGGGTGGTAAAGTGAATTTTAATTTTTCAAGAAACTGCCAAATTGTTTTCTAAAGTGGCTATACTATTTTATACCCCCTCCAACAATGTATTAGAGTTTAATTTTTCCACATTCCGCCGACATTTGGTATTATCAGTCCTCTTAACTTTAGTCATTTAGGGATGTGTAGTAATCTGTTGTTTTGGTTTTACTTACATTCCTGATGATTAGCAATCTCGAGCATATTTTCACATGCTTTAGTGGATATTTATGTATCTTCTTTTTGTGTCTGTTCAAATATTTTGTCCTTTTTTATTGGTTTATTTATCTTCCTATTATTGCTTTGTATGAGTTCTTTTCATAGTCTGGAAACAAGTTTTTTAGTCACATGTAGGTACTGTGAACTATACCTTTATAGAACTACACTGAATTATGGCTTTCCTTTTTTTTTTTTTTTTTTTTTTTTGAGACGGAGGAGTCTAACTCTGTTGCCTAGGCTGGAGTGCAATGGTGTGATCTTGGTTCACTGCAACCTCCACCTCCTCAACCTCTGCCTCCCAGGTTCAAGAGATTCTCTTGCCTCAGCCTCCCAAGTAGCTGGGATTACAGGTGCCCACCAACAAGCCCAGCTAATTTTTGTATTTTTAGTAGAGACGGTGTTTTGCCATGTTGGCCAGGCTGGTCTCGAACTCCTGACCTCAAGTGATCCACCCGTGTCAGCCTCCCAAAGTGCTGGGAATACAGATGTGAGCCACCACGTCCAGTCCTGGCTTGCCCTTTCATAGTCCCTACAGTGACTTTGTGGGGTTTGTTTGGGTTTTTTTGGGGACAGAGTCTCGCTCTGTCACCCAGGCTGGAGTGCAGTGGCATGATCTTGGCTCCCCGCGATCTCCACCTCCCGGGTTCAAGTGATTCTTGTGCCTCACCCTCCCGAGTAGGTGGACTACAGGCATGCACCAGAACACCTAGCTAATTTTTGTATTTTTAGTAGAGATGAGGTTTCACCATGTTGGCCAGGCTGGTCTTGAACCCCTGGCCTCAAGTGTCCCACCTGCCTCGGCCTTCCAAAGTGCTGGGATTACAGGTGTGAGCCACCATGTCCAGCTTACAGTGACTTTAAAAGAGCAAAAACATTTTTGTTTATAATTTCAAACGTTTTTTTCTTTTATAGTTATTGCATTTTGTGTCTTAAGAAATTCCTGCCTTCAAGATTGTAAAGATTTTTCTCCTAGGTTTTCTTCTTGAAATTATATCATATATATATAGGCTTTGGATCCTTTTTGAGTTAATTTGTATATGAGATAACATAAAGGTCAAAATTCATTTCTTCCCATATCCATATCCAATTGTTCCTATCTAGCTTGTTAAAAAAGTTATTGTTTTTCCATTGAATTACCTTGGCATATTTTTGAGTCTGTTCTAGACAATTTATGCTGTTTCCCTGAGCTCTATGGATACTCTTATGTTAATACTATACTGTTTTGATTACTGTAGCTTTATAATGCATCCTGAAATCAGGTAGTATAAGCCCTTCAACGTCTTTTTCCAAACTGCTTTTGCTATTCTATTTTCTGCATTTCCATTTAAATGTTAGAATCATCTTACTGAACACAGTCATTATTATATAATCTCTGAGAGAGAGAGGAAGGGAGAATAAATCCCTTTGTAAAGAGAAATAAAACACATGCATTTTTCTCTCATATTGCTATACAGGCAAATATAAGATCAAGCTAAGTTGTTGAAGATGATTTGTTTATACATTAGAGTAGATGCATTCATTCTAGTAAGTAACTCTTCCTGGGCCTTAGTTTCCTTGTCTACAAAGTGAGATTGTTAGTATTACCAGTGGTTTTCAAATCCTGCTCTACAAAACCTCAGGGTTTAGAAGGAGAAATGTTGTGTTAAAAGTCTGAGCTGGCAGATTCCAGGGCTCTCAGCATCTCTCCATGTAGAGAAGATCTCATTGGTTAGTTTTGTATAATGCAGTTCTTTATCAGACTTGTTTTAAAAATAAGCATTTGCTAATAAAAACAATTTGGAAAACCACTGAATTAAACGGACCCTAAGTCTTTCAGTGAAGTGTTGCATTTGAAGCTATGTCATCTTTTAGTGGATTTGTCTACATAAGAAGCCCTGGGAAAACTGGGATTCTTTGCTGCCAAATATGACACAAAATGCCCTGAATATAACTTATGTTTCCAGGATATAGCCAGATCTGGGCTGATCCCAGAAGATGTTAGAATCAGAAGTCAGGTTCAAATTCAGTGTTCTGAGCACCTTCTACTATGGGCCAGGTGCCTTGACTGCATTCTAACACATCTTTCCTTACTGAACTCTCACAGGAGATCCATGTTACTATCACTATTTTGCAAATGAGAGCATTAGAACTCAGTTTAGTAAGCAATGAAGTTGAGATCTGAACTTAGCTTTCCTGACTCTTTCTATCACCTCTCATCCCCATCCCCAGTATCTTAGATTCATGAGCAGAGCCTAGGCAGAGTCTGGGAACCTGATGTGCGTTGCTAAATAGGCCAAGAAACAGGTGAAAAGCTTGGAGACTCAAAGGAAGAAACTAGAACCGGAACCCGCCTTCATGACTACTTCATCTCAAGAAAACCAAAGTCAAAGCACACCATTTGAAACTTGACTCTGCTATTTATTAGTTTTGTGATCTTGGGATAATGTTTTCACTTCTCTGAAACTCAGTTTCCTTGAACATGAAATGAGAGCAGTAAACCTCATAAGGTTTCTGTGAGAGAATTAAATGAGATAATGAATATGAAAATGTCTAGCTCAAAGTCTACAGATAGAAAGTGCTCACCCCCACAGTGCCACATGGGCAGACCATGGACACATCTGCAGCTGCAGCACTTTCGAATCAGACCCTCAACATGCACAAGAGAAAAGAAAAGAGGGCGGGCCAGGGAAATAAGATTATGGTTTCTAGGCAACCATGGAAAGGGAATAATATAAGGGGCATTTCTCTTAAGGGTGCTACATTGGCTACTTCACACAAAGATGCCCTGTCAGGTTTTAAAAGTAGGATACAACCATCAATGGATCTAGAGAGCCTTTTAATAATTTACAAGTCTTCAAAATTCCTCCCAACCATTCTCATTCTCATATTCTCTTTCTCTCTCTCCCCTTCCCTCCTTCCCTCCCTCCCTCTCTTGATTCTCAAAGTAGCCAGGGAGGAAGATATGAGAAATACTTTCATTCCAATTTTATAAATGATCAATCTGAGAAAGCTGAGAAAATTATGCAGCACACTCATGCGCTTGGGGCTTATATTCCCCCTGGGCTGTCATTTCTTTGAGGACAGGATCTATACCTTATTCTTCTTACATACCTTCCAGAAAGGTCCTCAAAAATAAAAAAAATAACTCAGTAGAAGGCACTAGTCTAAGGCTTGCTCAATCAGGAAGCTCAGCCATTGTTTTCTGAAGCAGAATCTCAGGCTAAATTTCAAGGTCGCAGATGCTGTGGAAAGCTTCTTCATTTGGCATGAATCCATTTAGGAATAACTTATTTTAAATGTCTTGGTACATTGTCATGTCCCACTGCTAATCCATTCTTCGTTTTTTTCTAATTTTTGAATAATGCATATACTTTTTTTGCAAGTGAGAAACAGCCCAGAAAAGCAAAAGAAAACACTGATTAAAGATAAATTTTCATTTTGCAAAAGAATCTTGATGCTAGCTCATCCTTCTGATTGGCTGTAAGTTGCAAGTACAATTAATTGACCTTGGACATAACATGTTTTAAAGCCAGAATGGGTGAAATTTCATGGGGGCATATTTATCTTCAGTTGAAATGCAACTTGCTGTCTCTGAATATCATCTCAGTCTGGTATTATCTCTGATTGAAGGCAGGAAGCGTTGTCCTGCCTATTAAAAATGTACTTCGTCTGGACCCAAAATAAAAATATGTCAAATGCTAAGAGACCCATATTTGAACCTTGACTCTTCAGATTTACAATGTTCCATTATGAATATCACTAAAACAGCTCTGTGTGTCCAAATAACTACTCGTCCTCCTTCCCCAGCTTGTAAAAATTAAGAGAATACAGCAGAATACTGACTTTCTTAGAAGAAAGAGCTTGCTAGGTAAAGGTTGAGATGCCCCTGAATCCTTAGTACCGCTGATCCTCATGTTCAAGTCATAAAAGTAAGACCAAGAAGACATGTTTTTCTTTGAACAATTTGAGGACTGGATTTTCTAACCACCTTTGAACCCTTTAATGTTCAAATTCCTCAGTGGCAAGCATTCCAAAGGCTTGCAGGACTCCTGAAATCTGAGAAGTCTCTTCAACCCAGAGACACGTTGAGCCTGAGCCGAGCTGAAGGCTCACAGATGTGGCTGCAGCCTGGTTCCCCGAACTGAATGAGGAGAACAGAACAACAGTAAATTGTTTAGATGATACTCCCTCTCTTTTCTGCCCACCCCAAAGCTTCCTTCGAGCTTCCTTCGGTGCCAGTGCCCCTTCTTTTATCACTTTGGGGATAGGGCTTGTCAATCAAGGGGGTTCTCTCACCTCCGGCCCATTCTGATGGAGGTGACATCTTTCCAGCCTCAGCCCCACCATGGGGGTGGCACTGACAGGCTTTCTTTGACTGTGTCACTCACAGCTGGAGGAGAGTCCAGCCTGGATATAAATCTCTCACAGCTTGCTCATTCTCCTTCATGAGGCTGTGGGGAGAATGATCAATGCCTTCCTACAAGGCTAGTTTGCTCAGTGAACCACAGAGAGAGAGAGATTACAAAGAGCCCATTTAAATACCTAAGACCCCTCCACTCCCTCCTCCTAAGTCATAGACTTGCTCTTAAAATTTCAACGGATGTATCTACGAATGGTAACCTCAGAGAGATGCCTAGCAAAGCCAAAAATACAATTTCAAGAGCGAACCCAGGCAAGCTTCCTGAAAATAAAGCCCTGTGTATATTTCGAAGAGGGTGCCTCTCCATCGTAATTGCCTGAGCTGCCAGTTGTTCCATCGGATGGAAAGCAGGCCCTGGGACAAATGAGACTGAGAGATTAGCAGGACATTATGGGGCACCGACAGGTGCAAGAAGACAAAAATTCATTTGCTGAGATGCTGAACTCCCGCTGCAGCCTCCAGGCTGGCAACAGTTCCTCTCTCCAAGAACCCAAAGGTATTTCTGGAGTGGCAGGTCATTTTACACAAGCCAGAAGTCTTTATTGGGCTTTTTGTGTTGTGCCCTGCATTCACTGTGCATTCCAGGAGTTAGCCTGTCTCTACGGCAACTGGTCACTAATCTGGCCTGCCTTTATTTCTCGTTAATGGACAGTCTGGAAGTAAGGGTGCAAGCTATGTCCTCTCCATGGCCTACTGGATGTATCATGCTGGAAACAATATTCGATAATACCATTATTACATATCCTGTTCATAACACTTGGTACATACCTTGTAATTGGTTCCCCTGCTACCAATTTCTTCCTTTGCAATTCATGTTCCTTCCACCCTAGCATCAGAGTGATCATTTCAACTTAGTAATGTTATTCTCCTCTTAAAAACACTAGGTGGCTTCTGGTCAACTATAGGTTGGATCCAATTCTTCTTTGGTATGCTCCAGAGAAGGGCTGTTCCACCCTGAGTCTTGCTGTGAAAAGGACATGGAGCCATAGCCAACCCATGATGGACATGTAAGCCAGTGATAAACAAACTTTTATTGTTGTAAACCCCTAAGACTGGGGATCATTTGTTACCTCAGCCAAACTTAGCCTAAATTGACTGAAAAAGTAGGTTTCTTGGAGGTCAACTTGTTTGATACATAAAATGACATTAGGGGAACTCTTAAGGGCCAATTTTGTCTTAAAGAAGACACATTTTGAAACAGTACACCTTGAAGTTGAAGCCTATTCCATTCCTCTGTAGAACCAGTATTTAGAGTCATTGAGAGGAGAAGTCTGACTCCTTCATTGTGATTGAAAACACCTTAATTTGGAAATTCCCTTATATCTAAAGAAAAAAATAAAATGAAAATCTGAGAAACAACCCACAATCTCAATGTATAATCTGGTTTCCAGAACAAGGAAAGAGATCTACACTTAAAAATTTCTACTCTGCATCAAATGCTATAGAAGTTTTATGTTTATAACTGGGGTCTCAGCATGAGCCTAAGCACGGATTCAGACATATCTGGAGATGTCTGACAAGTATGGGACAGGTCTGCCAAATGCCTTTTTGCATAAAACCATGGGGAGTTTCCTGGGAGCAAACTCAGGGAAGAGGAAGCCAGCCCAGTGGAGACAGCACTATCATTCTAAGATAGGTGTGGTGGCTGTTGGATTTTTCTCTAAGCATAGGCCCCGTGGGATTAATCATATCTGAGTACTCTGGAATGAGGAGGCGAAAGGAGACACCCAGTAATTGTCATCATAAAGGTCAGCCCTGCATTAGGACCCCTGTGATGGAATGTGCCCTTAAGCAGAGAGAGGGACTTTCTTCTCTGCTTTTCCTCAGAATGTCTCTGAAGCCCCAGGCCCTGTTTGCTTTCAGGAATTGTTTGCCTGTTGTTAGTGGCACTCAACAAATACCCTGCTGAGACAGAATAGTAATAATGGTGCCAGGAAGGAGACAACCCGAAGATGGCCATAAACCCTTGAAAATTCATTACATGGAGATGAGGTCATGTGTACACGAAAGGCCCAAAGCTATAGAACCACCATTGCTATTGCTGATGTAACCTCATCAATTTCTACCCAGTAAATCAACAATTATATTTCCGGTATCCCATCTGTGCAAAATATTTCTGTTACATTCTGAGCGCTATTCATGAGCAATACTCCTTGATCTTAAGGGGCTAGTCTCTAGCCACCACAGGCTGACAATGCTGGAGAAATTCCACCTGATCTTAAATTATCTCATGTATTCATAATAACTCCGAGTGAGATCTTTATCTTCTTTAAAAAAGAAAAGGAACTGAGGCCCAGAGAGGTTAAGTAAATTGCATAAGATAACACAGCTTATAAGTGGTAAACAAGAAAAGCAACTCAGATAAAACATAAACAATTAATTTTCAATGCAAGACAGCACTCCTGCTTATTACAAACAAAACAGAAAGATGAAGAAACAAACAAAAGCAGCTCTGCAGACCGTTTTTCTATGTTTCTGTGGTGGGGCTATGTCACCAGCTCTTACGCCCCGGGGAGAAAATAGCAGCTGTCAGAGGCTGCCCACCTTGCTTTCCCTCTAGCTTGTTCTCTAGTAGCTTCTGCAATTTTTCCCCATGCCAACCCGAGCCTCAGGAGTAATCAAATCAGTAACTGATATTCAGAAAGTAGGTATAGGCTTAGCTGAAGTGGATTTTGTATGTTAATTAAGTGTTTTATGGAACCTCTGAGATCTCAGATGACACTCAGTAAATATTCCTTACTGAATCCACAGAATCTGTGAGCGGGTTCTGTATAATAAAGCAATTTCAATGTCCTGACAGATGGGCCATAGAAATTGGCTGTGTGGCTGTGATTCCAAAAGATTATATACAATGAAAACTCTGGACAATAAGTGCTTTCTCTGATTGTCGTCTACGAACTGGTTACTTTCTAGATGAGAAGAACTTGACTGGTTTCAGCTTATGTTACAGGCAGAAGAGGGGTTCTGAGATGTTTGCAGTTCTTTTGTCCTGGCTTTAAGTTAAAAAAAAATGTGCTTCCAGTCTGCTCCCTGGATCTTGTATGAAATATTCAGCCCACTAAGTGCTATTTGTAAAGCATTTATCAAAAGGCTAGGAGTGATGGATTCCCTCCTCTCCTCTCGAGCTTACAGCCTTCTTTTACCCTGATTTCTCTGTAGGAGAGAATGATTTATGTTCTGTTGTACCTTCAGCTCTTTCAGACCAGGATTGCAAATTCTTGGGATGAGTTCACATGCATAATCCCCCAACATGTGCATGTGCAGACACACACATACACACACACACAAAATCAATTCAGGAATTCTAAATATTTAGACAGATACCCATTATGCAAAATATTTTAGAACCATCTATATAGAGACTTTAAAAAATATGAACAGAACAAATTCAAGAGTTTTAATTTGTATATTTAATCTAATTTGGACAATTGCATTAGAGCATTAAAATTTTACATTTTCTTTTTACTACTTTACCTTCATCAAAAGTCATCATCCTCTGCCCATACAGGCTGGTATATGCTCAAATGATGAAAGGAAGCTTGGGCAGTCCCACAATTAGATAAAGGCAAAATTGCCTATGGAAATGACCAAACCCTTAATTAGCTAATTGCAGGTGCAATTGGCCACTTGCACCATCAGTTGAAGGGCAAGTGGTTAATTGAGCCCACAAGTGACCTACTCAATCAGAACTAACAAATGGCTCATCAGATGAGGTCTCAGCCAAAATGTGTCTGCAAACAATAGCATGTGCAAAAAAATGCTCAAATCAGAGGCAGCAGTTGGGCTAAAAATAAAACCCCCAAAACAAGAGATAATTAGAAAAATAATCAAAATCAGAAAAATTCAATAATGAGCCATGATCATGGGAGGAGTGAGAAAGATGGGTGATGCAGCCATTTGAGGAATCAAAGGCCATAGATGCTGGAAAGAGCATCAGCTTTGGATCATCCTTAATCATTCTTATTCAGAAATTTTAGAAAAACGTGCCACTTTCTTCCATGGTGGGTTCTTGTTCATAGTGGGATTCCAAAGAGCTCATCACAAGATCCCATAAAGAATAGGGGATTGGGAAATGTAAATGAATGACTGAATGGATGACACTGCATTTGCTTATAGAAGACTAAGAGCACAAGTACAGCTACTTCATTAAATTGATGGTACTGAAGAGTTTGTTGGCTTTCCCCTCTACTGAACATTTTTGGTTTGACTGTGTTGCTACTATGTACAATTTAGGAAATGTTTCCTAATTTGTTGGTAGGAGAACATACCAATGACTATGAAGATATTGACAGAAGTAATAATAATGATTTGCACTCATCAGTATAGGCTGTACTAAATAAAGGTATAAACCCCGAAATAGTAGCCCAAAACAATAATGTATTTTTCTTGCAAAATCCATTCTAGGTATGCCTCTGGTTTATTTCTCCTCACCAATAAAGATTCTTTCTTTTTTTTTTTTATTATACTTTAAGTTGTAGGGTACATGTGCACATTGTGCAGGTTAGTTACATATGTATACATGTGCCATGCTGGTGCGCTGCACCCACTAACTCGTCATCTAGCATTAGGTATATCTCCCAATGCTATCCCTCCCCCCTCCTCCCACCCCACCACAGTCCCCAGAGTGTGATATTCCCCTTCCTGTGTCCATGTGATCTCATTGTTCAATTCCCACCTATGAGTGAGAATATGCGGTGTTTGGTTTTTTTGTTCTTGTGATAATTTACTGAGAATGATGATTTCCAATTTCATCCATGTCCCTACAAAGGACATGAACTCATCATTTTTTATGGCTGCATAGTATTCCATGGTGTATATGTGCCACATTTTCTTAATCCAGTCTATCATTGTTGGACATTTGGGTTGGTTCCAAGTCTTTGCTATTGTGAATAATGCCGCAATAAACATACGTGTGCATGTGTCTTTATAGCAGCAAGATTTATAGTCCTTTGGGTATATACCCAGTAATGGGATGGCTGGGTCAAATGGTATTTCTAGTTCTAGATCCCTGAGGAATCGCCACACTGACTTCCACAATGGTTGAACTAGTTTACAGTCAATAAAGATTCTTTCACTCTGTGATTCAGCTATCCTGACAAAGGACTTAGCCTTCACCCCTCAAGAGGGCAGAAAAGCAAAGACCTGTGCAATGAAATAGGGCTTTTCACTGACTCAGCTTGTACATGTCTTCTGCTCACACTTTATTGGCCAGAATTAGTCTTGTGCTCTTGTCTAACTGCAAGTGTTAGGGAGTATGGAGCTTCCACCTGCCCAGAAAAGAAGAGACCTGAAATAGGGTTGGGTAAACTCGTGGCATTTTCTCTGTCACAGAATCCAAAAACAAGGAAGAATAAATAATCTGTCTATTTGGAAATTTAAGCATACCTTTTGATAGAATGCTAGGTTAAAGAAGTAATCAAAATGTAATGTGAAAATAATTCAGAAATGATAAAAAGGAGAGCCTTTCATAATAAAACATGTGGACAGAAGCCAAATGGGGTGCACAAAAGGAAATGCAAAGCCATAGAACTCTGTATAACAAAAAAAGTAGACTGAAAATAAACGAGTCAGACCCTCACCCAAGAATCTTAAAGGAGAAGCAAAATAATGCAAAAGAAATGTGACCTGGGAGTTATTGAAGATTTTTAAAGGATAAAATAAAATCTATTTTAAAAAATAGATCATACTGATTAGAATTTTTAATGTGTTCTTTTTAAAGACTAATAAAGTAGACAGATTTTTGGGCAGTATTATCAGAGGGGGAAAAACAGATTTCCACGAACAGTCTTATGAACAATACAGGAGACATGAAAATAGATGTTGAAAGCTAGTAAATGTCATAAGAGACTACACTCAACAATTTCAACTGATAAATTTGAAACTAGAAAACTGATGAAGATATAGAAAAACAGTAATTATCAAACCTAGAAAAATTACTTTACTTAGAAGATTTTCTTTTCCTTACTTTTTTTCCTTAAAAATTAATTACTTGCTTCAGAGTTTGTGCTGTGCTCTGGGATATCAGTAGCAGGATTCAAATTCTGACTCTACCACTATTAGCAGTGTCACTTTAGCCAAATTGTTTAACCTGTCTATGATCTAGGTTCCTAATCTATAGCTATTCACAAGACTATTGCGAGAATATGGCAACACTTTACTAGTTGCTATTATTTACTAGTTTACTAGTTGCTATTATTCTTTAAATAGGACCTCAAGACATGGTTTTTAAGTGAGTTGGAAAAACAGATAAACAATATTTAACAGATAAACCATATTTATATTAGTTAAATATTGTTTAATATGGTTAAAAAACAGATAATCAATATTTTAATTATTTATTCCAAAATATAGAACAGATTATAGAATGTCATAATAATTTTTAAGCTGGGCATAGGAATAGACACCCAGATCAATCACAAATTCAGATATCTAAAGAGGTACACAGGAATATAAATGAGAGAAGTAGGCTTGATGTGAGACAAACCACAAGTGCATTTTTTTTTTTTTGGTTGATCTTTGACATTTTCAGTTTTGATAGAGACACAGGACCAAGAAGTAGCTCTCTCCTATAAGGAAAACAAATAGGCAATCATGGCTAAAATACCAACAGCATACGTGCGGTGATAGGGAGCAAAGGGAGTCATGACAACTAGGGAACAGAGGCCCCAATTAAACGGGGCATTGCCCTCTGAGCTGCAGCCAAATGACAACACTAAGAATTAAACTCCCAGTGTAACCTGATCATTTCATTTTTCCAAATTTTTACTTAGACAACTATTCTAAGCCAGGCAGGCCAACAAGGAGGCCAATAAAAAATTAATATATTAGACTACATAAAATTAAAAATATTTGCATTACAAAAGAAACCAACCATCTTAAAAGGCAACAGTCTTGAAGAAATATATGTAAAGTACAAAATAAAAGATTAATATCTAGAATAGTGCTGTCAAGTAGAATTTTTTGTGATGAAGGAAATGTTAACAATTTGGTGTATATTCTTTTGGATATCTCTCTCTATATTTATGTTCCTATGCAAGTACACACAAATATGTTGTAAAAATAATGCCCATAATAATAGTGATATTAGTACTGTTCAGTATGTGCCATACCCTCTTCTAAAGGTTTTTTATATGTTAACTTATTTGATCTTCATTATAACCTCATGAAGTAGGCACTACTGTTATGCCCACTTTGCAGATGAAGAGATTAATGCTTTGCAATTTTTCCAAGGAAATATAGTGAGTTTCAGACATACAGTTCCATCTTAGTCTAGTTCCACAGTCCATACTCTTAAAATTTATCCTACAGTTTCTCATATACAATTTTGTTTTGTTTTGTTGTTTTGAATGTCATTGTTTTGTTAAATATAAGTGGTATTTTATTGCACAAGCTACAAGTGGTATTCTTTGGTACAGTCTAGCTTGCATATATCCACAGAAGTACATAGAGATCTACTCCATTATTTTTACTATCTAATATTCTGTAGTGCAGAAGAGATATACTATAACCCATTCAGCTTTCTGACATTGTTAGAGATATCAGGGTTTTCAGAGTGTATCACATAAAATTTACCATCCATACAGATTACAGGGCGAAGAATGTCGCCTGGAGTTGTGCAATGTATTGCTCATGTGGCCTCACATTTAAGAATTTTCAACTTTTTTCAATAATACAAATGGTGTTGCAATGAACTTTCTTGTCCATCTTTATGCCAGTATTTATGTAAGGTGTATACCCAGAATTGGAATTTTAGAGAAAAGAATATAGACAGTTAAAATGGTGATAAATACTTCCAGAGTGACTCCGAAGATCCTATTAATACCCTCCCACCAAGAGAGTATGAGAGAATCCATTTTCTCCCACCTTAACTAAAATATATATTGCCAATCTTGTTTTTTTGTCAATTGCAAAGGGAAAACTGATATCTGAGTGAGCATATGTTTACTGGCCTTTTGAATTTATTCTTCCATTGATTGTTTTATATTAATACTTTATAAAAAGCATGTATTATTCTATATCTCCACTGTTTAACATGGTAGACGCTAGTCACATGTGGCTATTTCCACTTAAGTTAAAGTTAAATATTAATTTCCTCAGTAAGACTTGCCACATTTCAAAGGTGCATATTCTCTGACAGAAAGGAGGCAGTGGAGAAGACTAAAAATAAATGAGCAAAGAGAATTAGAAACTTCAGAGAAAATAATATGATCACAATAAAATAGCCATAAACATAGAAAGCTGGGAGTGGAAGGAAACTTGGAAATTTTCTGATTTTATAGTTTTTGAATTCTGTTTTGTGAAGTCCTGAAATTCGCTTGGTCCCATTTTCTGTTGATATGTGTACATGGGAGTGAAACTTTTAACATCCAAATTACAGAACGGATTAGTAAAAGTAGTCACTTTGTGAACTTTTTGGTAGGCTTTACTACTAATAGTGTGGTTTTCAACATGATTCTTATTTTTCTATACTGGGTTCACGCAGATGAAAACAAAGAAGATAGTTTACCTTAAACTGGCCAAAGAGTAATTGATGTGAAAGTAATGTCTGGGAAAAGCACGATGTAATGGCTTGCTTTAAAGCTACTATCCAATGTGTTCAAGTAGTCTAATGACTGTTTGATGGCACTGTATAGCCAAACACTAGGTGTTAACTTCCTACAAACATGCAAGCATCTTTCTAAACAGTGTTGGATCGGGCCATATAAATAATCAGTTATATTAAGATGCAGCCTTAAAACTGCAGTTGTTCAGAGTTGCTGGTAATTACATTGGCAGTATGTTCCAGAATAGCCTTCTTTACAGAAAGGTTTTATGATGAACTAAAGGCAAGGTGCTAGCATAAATATTTCAAAGATTTTAAGGAAGAAAAAAAAATGTGTGTATCAGTGAAGGAACTCCATTCATTAAGTAGCTAGCAAAAATACAACAGCTTTTCAGAATCCTGGTGTTTTCATGCTTATAATTGCAAATAAGGTGTCAGCAAGGAAACTGAAACTTGAAATTTCTACTGAATGGAAAACAAAGTAGATTTTTACAGCCTTGAAATATGACAGACAGAGGTGCTAAGGCATCTGAGTTTTTTTAATAAAATAACTGAGAAATCTTATATTGTTATCAGATATATTTGAAAAGTATTTCCTTCCAAAGACATTTCACCCAACTCTATAGAAGCCAGTTTATTAATACTCCCCAAATGAAACACTTACCAAGTAATGCAAAGTGAGTAGCTATTCGATGTTAGTGAGTTCACCTTGAGAAAAAAGATTTTATTATTTCTTTTTATCTTGACTAATTGTTAATGGAAGAATAAGCTTAACCACTGAAAAACTGTTATCTTTTGTAAATAACTTCTCTAACTGAATCAGGATTTTTTGTGCCATGAAACCAAAACAAATCAATGGAATAGCTGGATTCAGACACCAATTATCCCTCATAACCCCTGATTTCAAAATTTTATTGATATATAATTTTGAAATATTTTAGTTGACTTTATAATAGGTATAATTAAATAAATATACATGTAAATCTATAAAAATAGGTATATTTTTGAACTCAAAAATACTCTAAACACTGCCTTTTCTCCTTATATATTTTGGGTTCCTCGTATCTTTTTTTTTAAAAGAAACATCACTAGAAATAAAATAAAGTTGATTGAACCAACTCTTTCAATTTATAGAAAAGGAATTTGGGGAGGGGAAGCCACAGATTAGAGCATTCAATAGGTTCTGAGAGATTTGGGACTGTATCACTTACTCTCTGTGTGCTACTAGCTAAATTTCTTAATCTCTCAAAGTTTCAGTTTCATATAAGGTGCATGTAACAATATATTCGACATAACAATAGTGCCTAACTCAAGGGTGTTATTATAGTTAAATTAGATATAGTGAATTCTCTCTAAGAAGAAAAAAAAAACACAGTGAAAATTGCCCTGCATGGGAAAGTGACCCTGTATTACCAGAAACCAGCAGTACAGCCTGGACTCCCGGGCAGTGGTCATAATTCCATGAGTGTTCTCTCCATTATACTCATCTGAGTCAAACCCAGTAGAGAAGTTCACCTTAGGATGAAGACACATGGCTTCTTTTGAAAGAAGGAGAAAGGGCAGAAGTCCAGGGTGAGTAAAGGAAGATAAATTCTGAGATGGAATGTGGGCAATGGCTAGAAATCTTTTTTTTAAAGTGGGAGTTTATTTGTTGAAATATGAGCTTTTGAGTGACATGGGAAAAGATGGAAGCAGCTTTTGTAGGCAAAGAGTCAATTAAGTATGAGAATAATAAAATTTACTGAGCTCAATTTTCAGCGAAGTTTAGAGACTTTGGAAAAATATGGAACTTTACATTTCAGTAGAATTACTACAAGTTCAGGCTTTGCTATCCAGTAACTGTGTGGCTTTTGGCAAGTCTTCAATCTCTACATACCTTTCTTGTAAGGTTACTGTCAAGATTACATTAAATACATTAGATGAAGTTCTGGGCTGGTTGCTGAGGTCCCTAGGCCAAAACGCAGACATGTGACCCAGGTCCTTCTAGATCATGAGCTCTTTGAGGCCAGACACCATGTCATCCTCATGTGTTATTGAGTGTTGATGAACCCTAAACTCTTGTTTCTTATATTTTTTTATCTGAATATTTGACCTTTTGTCCTGCTAGTGGTGGCCCAATTTATGGGACCTGCTGCTTCACACCTTGGTCTATGTTACTACTCTAAGTTTCCTGGAATAAAATGAAAATGATGACCACTTTGTATAGGTATTATAGGATCTAGAAGTAAAGCATGCGAAGTCTTTAACATAGTCTCAGCACAAAGAGGAAAATTCAAGTTTTAGTATCTATTGTTTTCTGATTGTCTTCCCCTATGAAATGGGATAATAGTGAAGTTTTTCTGAAGTCTAAATAAAATGTTTAAAATATGAAAATACTTTTCAAATTATAAAGTTCTAAACATTAACATAATCGGCAGACAATAATTTATGTATCTTTAATAGAAGATAAAACAGAAACAGTAACTACTAGAACTTGAATCTTTCTCAGTACGTTCTCAAACTGAGGGATATTCTTCCTGCTAGTTTACTGGTTGAATGAGGTTTTTCCACCTGCACTCTGGAAATCATTCCCCATACCTTTTCCAAGAAAGTTGTTCTATAAATCTATAATTTGTAGCCTCTATAAGATCAAGCAGCAGCTAGTAATATGCACACTTAACAAATACATACTCATTTTCCAAGGACGCTATGGAGGAAATTCCTATGCTGGGTGGAAGACAGGACTAAAGTGATACAAATGTTGAATTGGAAAGCTCCTACCCACAGCAGTCCAGCCAAGAGGGTATTTATCTACCTTCTTAATAAGCACTTACAGTAACAGGACAAACATCGTCCCATCAGGCATCTCATTCAACTTTTAGAGCACCTTCATATTTGGAAAGAAATTTGTTATATTGAGCTAAAACCTACCTCTTCTTAGTACACAGTCTTTCCTCTGAAGCCATCAAAAACAGTTTTTTCCATCTTCAGTGTGAGTATGTCAAATGTTTTGAGATAGAGATCAAGCCTTTTACCATTTAAATATGCCATTTGCCATCATGCGAGGCAGCTGGAGAGAAAAGTGGTCACTGGGTTTAAGGAGCATCTCAGGCAGGGTTTTGCAGACTCTCTAACCACAGCCTGTCTGTTGATTGGCCATATCAGGTAGAAAGGAAGCCACAGGATATTACAAACCACCCAAATCTGCCCCTTCTCTAGAAATTCTCTTGCATACTTGTAAACTTTTGTCATTTTCTAGGGAGTATGAAGTAACACATTTGTAAAAGACTTGATTTTTGTGGGAAAAATCCTCCTATATATTTAATAGCTACAGGGATTATGATTCTATCTCACTTTTTTTCTGCCTCAGGTTCAAGTGCCTTTTTGTCAACTTTTTGGTATTCATCTCCAATCCCTTCTCATTCTTCATTTTCTCATTGTATAATTTCTTTCTTCCGTTTCAATAAGCCATTTGAGAGGTTCCCTCAAATCATTTTATCTTTGCCTCAAATATGGTAAGAAATTGGCATGGAACCTACCTGTAGTCAGGATGACCTCCAACAGGAAGAAGATCACAACAGGACAGTAAAACACCTCACCTTCTCTATGCCTCCTGATGACTGATAGGCCAGGGTTGGATTTTGCAGTGGACACAGTCCTGTTGTCTAATCCCAAGTACTCCTAACTGCTACCAAGGTGGGGACCCAGGTTTCCGGTTACTGCTAAGCCAATGCATCTATTACTTTGTCATCTCACTCTTAGTTGCCCAGGTATGAAATATAAGTCATTTCTATAGGTCTCTGCAGACCTAGTTCCAGATGCTCAGCAAGACATTTGTTTAGTCTCTGGATATTCTTCAATGGTGTCTGTAAACCACTCTCAGTCATACACTTCATGTTAACGGCATTTTATCAGTATTTTTATATACATTATGGAGATCCTTATAACACTTCTGTGATGTATACAGAATAGATATTATTAATAATTATCATTTTGCAGATGGAGGAGTCAAGGGTCTGAAACAATATGTTTTCCTGCACAGATTGTGAGTGTTAGAGCTAAGACTCCCATGCAGATCTTGGACCCAAAGTTTCAATTTAACTCACACTGTATTACTGATACTATTTATTCCTAAAAATAAACAGACAAAATAACCTACTATGGAAATTATGACTCTCTATGGAAATTATGAATCTCTAAGTACAAAGAGTTTTCACCTAAATTCTTCAATCTTGCCTTAAAAAAGCAGCTTCCTGAAGTATCCCTAGAATACTTTAATCCAAAGCTTGCTCTCTTCTCCTAAATCCAAGTTAAATCTGTTATCACTTCCACTTTGACTTTAAATTATATTAATTCATTCAATATTTTTTCCTTATACCAGAGAGCCAGACATTGGGAATTCAAGGTCAAGTAGGATATGGTCCTTGTTTTTGAAGAGTTTTACTGTGTAGTACAGGCAACAGGGAAATAAATCAGGAATTTCAACATGATTTTAAAATAGTATAAAAATAATAGTGTTTATAATAACAATGGCTAAGATCTATTGAGTACTTACTATGCGTCAGGTACCACTTAAACACTACGTATATGGTAAAAGAATTTTTACCATACACTGTATTATGATTTATATTTTCTTAAGAATACTCATTCCCTGCCCAATTTGTTTACAAATTTGTCAAAAACAAGAACTTTCCTGATTACCTTGTGTGTGTCCTCAAGTAAACCAAAATGAACCAGTTTGTGGTAGCAGCCTGAAGACTGTTAATAAACTAAACTGGGATGCAATTAAAAAAAAAATCCTAACTCGTTTTAATGGCAACTGTTGCCAAGAGACACTTTTATTATGAGAAACTGTTTTGTCTAGGTTGAGTAGAGATCATGAAAGGACAAATTTTAATGGCATTTGAACTGAATGATAGCTTTAAATGCACAAAAAGGTCAAAAATTGTTAAGATATAAAACATAACGTCTCACAGATCAAAAGTATATGTGAAGAATTAACCTTACAAGAGAGGGAGCAAAAGATAAAAGCAAGGAATTGGAGTATATGCCAGTCCTACCCAGGTTATGCCACTGCAATGATTAAAAATCTTAGTGGCTCAAAACAGTGCTTTTCAATCAGGAGCAATCTTCCCCATAGCCCTATTTGGCAATGTCTGAAGGCAGTTTTGGTTGTCACAACTGGGGAAGTGGGTGCTACTGACAACAAGTGAGAAACTGCCAAGGTTACTGCTCAACATCCTATACACAAAAGAGCTCTTTCACATCACTCCACCCCTGTATTAGTCTGTTTTCACACTGCTATAAAGAACTTCCCTGAGACTGGGTAATTTATAAAGAAAAGAATTGACTCACAGCTCCACATGGCTGGAGAGGCCTCAGGAAACTTACAATCATGGTGGAAGGGGAAGCAGGCATGTTTACATGGCAGCAGGCAAGAGAGAACGACAGTGCAGGAAAAACTGCCAGTTATAAAACCATCAGATCTCATGAGAATTTACTCGTTATCACAAGAACAGCATGGGTGAAACTGCCCACATAATCCAACTACTTCCATCCCTCCTCACATGGGGATTATGGGTCCCTCCTGCAACATGTGAGGATTACAATTCGAGATGAGATTTGGGTAGGGTCACAGAGTCAAACCACAGCAACGCCCTAAGAAAAAATTATCCAGCCCTAAATATGACTAGCTGGATTGAGACTGAGAAACTCTAAATTAAGATAACCAAGGGTTAATACTCACTCATACAACATGTCCACTGTGGATCATTCAGCTTAGAGCTTTGCTCTAGTGTCATCATCATCCTCACAACTCAGGATAACAGGGCAACATGACTGAGAAGAGAGACAGCTGTGGAGTATCTCGCAGTGGCAACTAAATGATCCAGTTCTGAAGTAACATGAATTATGACTTCCACTCAAACTCATTGGCTAGAACTAGTCCTGTGGTCCCACCCAAGCAAAAAGGAGCAAGAGAGTACAATTCTACTATGTGCCCCCCAAATGGGAGAGCTGATATGTATGATGAATAGCACAGATGAATGGTTTGAGGTATGGAGGCAGGGAATAAGAAAAATAATGAGCAGAACTGTTGCTGCTCTAATGACATTCCGAAGTTCTGAACTCAATGGTTTCACTTTGAGAATATCTTCAAACAAAAGGACAAATATTCACAACCAGTGTGGTTCAGGGACTTTTCAGCTGAAAATGGTTAGAAACAATGCCCATTTCACAATGTTATTAACATGTAAAAGCAATCATCATGGTGCTTAATTGCTAAGAAATACTCTTTAAACCCTTGTCCCTCCTCCTTTCTTTACAGAGTAGATTAACAGCAATAGCATAGCTAAAGAATGAACTTATAAAAAATGGGCTATTTGTTTTCCATTATGTAAGAGAGAAAAATATAAGTGTATATTTAACATATGATACTGGAGAACTTCCCCCTTTCTTGCAAGAATTGCATCAATTACCTTATGGATTTAAAAACTCAACCATCTCTCCTCACTTCTTTCTCCAAACTTTTGTTACATGGAGTTGTAAAAATTGGAAATTAGTTCATGTGGTTTCCTTAATTAAATCTTTTAATGACTTCCCATGACCCTCAATTTAAAACCCTAACTCCTCACCTTTATGATTGTTTTTTTTTTTTTTTTTTTTTTTTTTTGAGACAGAGTTTCACTCTTGTTGCCCAGGCTGGAGTGCAATGGTGCGATCTCTGCTCACCGCAACCTCTGCCTTCCGGGTTCAAGTGATTCTCCTGCCTCCGCCTTCCAAGTAGCTGGGATTACAGGCATGTGCCACCATGCCCGGCTAATTTTGTATTTTTAGTAGAGACAGGGTTTCTCCATGTTAATCAGGCTGATCTCGAACTCCCGACCTCAGGTGATCCACCTGCCTCGGCCTCCCAAAGTGCTGGGATTTCAGGCGTGAGCCACTGCGCCTGGCCTATGATTTCATTTCTTACTTCTCCATTTCTCATGTTTTTCTCTGTGGCCCAACCACTGACATTTTTCTGAACACAACGTTAATCTCTCAAGCTTCATGCCTTATTGCAAGCTGACTTCCTCTTTCCTCTGGCCTTGGCAAACCATACTTTGGCCTTAAAAAGTGCCAGCCATAACTCTCGTCAGGAATACTTTCCCTGAGTTTTCTCACCCCTATATTCATTTCTGTGATAATATTTATATATTACTTGACTGTTTATGTATCTGACTGTTTTATGTAAACTGCTTCTAACGGGGCCACATTTCCTGTCAACATCCATACAGCCTAGTACAGGGCCTGACATAGAACGGTATCTCAGTAAATGTTTTCTGAATCAATTATTAAAATATAAATTTTATTTTGCTACGTCTTCATAATGATCATTTTAATAACTTTATATTATTTAGTCAAGGAATATCCAACTGTAAAAAATTAAGATACCATTTTACTTTAATAAATTAGAAAAGAAAATCATATAAAGAAAAAATATCAAATACATAGATTATTTTTCTACAGCACTATAGAAAAACAAAATTGTTGCCTTCCTTTATTAGATGTAGCTCTTAGGAAGGGATTGAATGGAGGTGTGAATGACTGAATAAGGTTAAATAAATGGGCAAAAAAATGGTTTTCATATTTTTTCTTTCCCAGGAGTAGTTTCCAACTCTTTCACAACAAAATTCTACTTTTGTTATTAATTATCTTAGGATGGTCAGACCTGGACTCAAATCCCAAGTTTGCCTCCATCATTTCCTCTGGAGACTCTTTCAGCAATAAGGGCCTCCCAGCAGAGAACCATTAATTTAGTGCAGATCTGTAATTTTACACAATCCTGTGAGATGCGTCCTACTATAATCCCATTTTATAGATGATAAAATGGAGGCATCAACAGGCTAAAATCAGCTAGTACATCAGATCAGGCAGTATGATTCAGAGACCACATTTATAGTCCTTATACTGCAATATCTTCTATACCAAAACATATGTATTGGAATGGCTTGAAAAGCTTCATCCCTGGAAAAATGGCTCTCATAAAACTGGTTTGAAAAATAATTTGGAAGGTAGAAGAGCATCAGTGGATATATGTTTATTATTTTGTTCACTTTCCATCTGAGCTCTCATCTTTTTTTATTATTTATCTTAAGAAATTAGGTGGGAGGCAAAGATTGCCTTCCACTGTAGTGAAAATATTTTGCATTTTTTCTGGGAAAGATGGAGGGCACAAAATGGAACAAGAAGATTCACTCTGAAATACTTACCTGTATAATTTTCCAGGGATTTAAGTTTTCTTATTTTTATTCACAGAGAGAAAAAGTCATAACTGACCTCAAAAGAGGTCATTCCTTTACAGCAATGACTCATATGCCATCCAAACCATAAGTTATGAAGTTGAAATCTAAGAGGAAGTGGCCAATTTGTCAGCTGTACCTGAAGAAGAACTTCTTTTCAGCAGGAACCATCCTTATGTGCTTATTATTGAAGTGAATCTACTCTAAGGACATGGCCTCTTTCTGAAACAGATTCAGGAAGGACTGTTATTTAAAGATGATCATGGCTTTGACAAGGTGATAACTCTTATCTAACTCTTGTATATAGATGCTAGCAACTAACTAATCCTGCAGAAGACAGCAGAAGAATAATAAAGATAACTTTGGCTACCATTGTTTCAGTGTCTTTTCCCTGTTCTCAAACTGGGGGAAAGACATACACTTTGGTGCTGGCAGCATTGAATCACTAACAATGAAGACAAAGCATGATGCAACTTCCTGGAGGGACCATTTGACTCAAAGATTATTTTGAACAGTATGTTTTATTTCAAAGAGGTATTAAAAGAGGTATATTACAAAAGAGAATTTTAAAATTAGCATGATTTTTAAAATTTCATTTATTTATTCAACAAATATTTACTGAGCATTTGTACAAAGCCTTGGTGTTCCTATCATGGACAGAATCAAATGGACCCTGATCTCAGGAAATTTAGAACCTGATAAGGGAGGCAGAGGAATTCGTTGCAAAAGCTGGGATGAGTGCTCTGAAGAAAATACCACAGTTCTTAAAGAGCCTCGCACAAAGGCAAGGGAAGCATGAGCTGAGATCTGAAGGATGAGAAGGAGTTGAGTAGGTAAAAGGCTGGAGAGGTGGTGCTGGTGGGAGATGCAGATGGGGCAGTATGAGTCCAAAGCCTTGATGTGGGCAGGGATTAGGAAGAAGGCCAGTGACACCAAAGCTCACAGGGTAAGGGAGAAAGTAGTGGATCAGGCTGGAGATGTTGCTGGGGCCAGACAGTGCAAGGACTTGTGAGCATGTTAGAATTGCAGAAAAAAATGAAACTAAGTTCTGGCTTGAGGGCACTTTGCAGGTAACTGTCTGATCCTTCCAGAGGAAATAGGCACCTTCTTCTCTGTTATTGAGGGTATGTGGATGGAATATATGGAATATAGGAAGCATGAGTTTATCATATATCTTGAAAGGTCAATTGTACTGCTCCTAACCATCACTCTACCCCTAATTTGCAGGTGAGAAAACTGAGGCTCAGAGAGGTGAAGTGACCAAGGTAGAATAAACTGTAATGAACTGAGTTGGGGTTCAACTTTGACCTACTGGACTCATCTCAGTAGGGAGATTTTGAAGCTAACTTTGTTTCCTCCAAAATTTTGCTTGTGACAAGTCAGGCCTAGGTATATTCTTTGGGTAATAGGTTCCATTTTTATTGCTTTTAAAATTGTCTTCAGTATGATTTCTTTTAGGCCAGGCCATTTTGTGGAGCTCCAAACCAACACCAAAACAAATTTGCATAGTTGGCTTTAAATGATCCTCTTTTTGTCACCCTATCAGTCACAGGTGTATTCGACACTCAGATGCAGACAGCTTTCTTTTTGCCCATCTGAGATGTGAATCACTGGTCAATGCCAATCACATGCTGCACAATAAATTCATTGCTCTATCCTCAACAGGTCATTCTCATTCTACCTCACTTGTCTGGAATTTATAGGGAATTCAGAATTTGTCAGAGTTGAAATTGACTAGTGCAAAATTCTCACTAAAAGAGATTTAGTTAAGATGAATCCTTGGCACATCCAAGGTCTTAGTGAATCAGCACATTTACAAATATCACTTTAATATAATTTCTCCCAGAAAAAGAGATCATGAAAGACTGAAACATTTAAGTTGTGCTTTAATAATTTACTTAATGAGCAGTATTTGCACTGAGTAGAGTGCTGCCTGAAGTGGAATCACAAATATCTTTTTCTTAATGCTGTAGAGAGCATCTGGTGGACTCGTTTGTGTCATAGAACCAGAGTACTGCCAAGTGTGACATTCCACTCCTTAATGAATCCAAGGGTTCAGCTTCCTGGCAAGGGACCATCACTTAGGCTTCTTATTTTCTATTCCCTTTCAGCACCAGCTCTGGCAGTTGATGTTCTTCCCTTAGCTAGTTGTTATTTTTGTTTTGTTTTTACAAAGAAACAATTTATCACATTATGAGAATTGAGAATTACTAAGTTCTCCTCAAAAAGTGTGGAACCACAAAACTAAACCCAAAATCTGGGTGGTGGCTGGCTACATTCACAGATTCAGTGGCTTAGTCAAAATGCAAGCCTTACAAACCCATGAGACTCAAAGTGCTACTGCAGCAAAATGATAAAACACCCATATTCTGGTCTTGCAAGGTCCCTTGTGAATAGCTGAATCCCTGGATGCTAAATTCACAACAGCTAATGGTCTACTCTGTTTTCTTAAGTTTTCACCTAACTTGCATTTTGCTTTTTATGTGTTAATATCCACAGCTCTAAGTCCTTTGTGTATACTATGTCCTCAGCCTGTCTTGGGTCTCTCTTTGACCTTCTACCTTTGACTGTGAACTTGCCACATGACTTTAATCAATTTATCATTGACACTGACCTTGAATAGCACCTCCCCAAATCCCCATAGCCAGTTCTGATTATTCTGTTAATCTGTTTCTATGAAAGTTCATCAACCAAGGATATAAACCAACTCAGACTGTCTAAAGCTCTAGTTTATACTACTCTGAGTGAAAGAAATGCCGACTAAAATATATTTTTTTAATTGTTTCAAGTGACAAAGTCATAAATTCAATAAAGTACTGTATGTTCACAAATATTATAAACAGTGATATAGGAAATGATTGTGATATAATATTAAGTGACCAAACACAATATAAAATTGCAAGTATAGTGTGATTTCAATTGTATAAAACATGTACTAAAAATACTAAAATTTAATATACAACAAATTAATAGCAATCATCTTCTAGGATTGTAAATAATTTTAATTTCTTCATATTAATCTGGATCACCAATTTTTAAAGACTCAATAAACAAGATTATTCAAAACATCAATAGTACCTATGAGGTATTTTAGTCTTAAAACATTGTAGACCAACCCCTTAAAGCACTGCTCAAATTCCTCCACAGTTTCAAAGGCTAAAAATCAGGGCCAGCAACTTGAGGAATTTAATAAAGAACAAGTTCAATTCCCAACTTCAATTCCCCTGAAAATATGACAGGATTTTAAAATGTGCCTGGAAAACTGCATCTGGGGTTTTGCCAATCCCATAACGTTTGGGACGTTTGCTGAACCCAAAACACAGCCGGGCCCACCCATCCATAATTAAAGCCCTCCCCCCAAATGAATTCATTGCTTTGTGGCACCATCTGTCTCATTCCCTTATTTACATAATAGGGAACCCTGTTCTGACTGCAGCAAATGAGAAGCCACAAAAGAATGGCGAGTGAAGATGAAATGTATACATGGAGACATCAGATTATGTATAATATGGTCAAATCCCCTCAATTTAAAATTTCTAAAAAATCTCAAAACCCATCACAACGTTCACCTCGGCCTTGTTCCAGCTCTCAGAACCTCCTTCCTCCTTATGCTGCATCTGCAACTCTCACTAATCTGGCTTGTTTCACTCAAAGAGTTCATTTGTCAGATTTTATTTTATTAAATATTTTATTTTCCTCTTGTGGACCCATTAGAACACCAGTTAGAGAAAGTAGCATAAATCAATCGCATTTGATATTCACTAAGGATGCAGAGGAAATAAGCAGGTTCATGTTAACCTGAAATTTAAAAAGGAAAAAAAAAAAGCTGTCCCCGATATAGAGCTTCCATGAATCCTTCTCATTTTCCTTCTGTTCCTCTCCTGGGAAATTTCTGTAATAAGGGAAGCGCGAGTAGAGGATGTGTTCAAAGACAGACAAAGGGCTGATTTTTAAAATGCAGCAGTCCTCTAATCCCATGTTTTATGTCCCTTCCTACAGGATGTGAGGCAGGGACAACCTTCTCAATCCCCATGGCAGTCACATGCAGTAGAGAAGTAAGCACTGGTCTAAGAGTCTAGTGACTTGGACTCATATTTGGACTCTGCCACTAGCTTTTGGTGACCTTGGGCAAGTCTACTTCTTAGAACTTCAGTTTTCCAATCAGCACGCTGCTAACCCATAAACACCTGAGATGATGCTCTTCCCTGTGGACCGGGGTCCCCATTTACATGCCTGCAGACACAGATGCAGTCCCAGCCGCTCACACTGAGAATAGAGAGTTGGAGACCTGAACTCCTTTAGCCCCAAGGATCACCTTTCACCATGACCAAGCACCCTCAGGCCAAAGAAGAAAAAATGCCAAGGTTTAGAGGCATACATTGGCTTCTATACCAAGTCAGAGATCAGGAGGATGCCTCCTCAGCCCAGCACTGACAGCAGAAGGAGCAGCCACACCTTAGGTTAAAAGTATCAGAGGTTAATGGTGATAACAGTAGTTTAATCGGTGCACCGTGAAGAGCCTAGGTAGCAAGCTGCCAACAATGAACAGATTCTTCATCCCCTCTCTGGTCTCTCAATCAGAATTTCTAGGGCTAGAATCCAGGAATCAGTATATTTATTACATTCCCTGGATAATTCTGATTCATAGCCCACACTTGGGAAGTATTGGATTCCATAACTCTTAAACCGTGATAAAAGAAAGGTTAGCACATCTTTAGGAGAAACACTTCTTTAGTTCTAAACTCCAGAAGGAATCTGTGATGTATTTGCCTTAATTCAGAGGTCACTGAACAGCAGAATAGATAACGTCAGAAGTGATTTTATTTCTTAGGTGCAGAAATGTCCATGCAGACACATCTTATAGGCATTTGCATTCAACTTGAGACCAGAACCCTTAGAATTTAACTAGTGAAAGCATTTCTGCTGGAGCAAAACTTGTAAGGTTTAGGCTGGGTTTCTCATCTATGCCTGGTAATCCACTAAGGCTTACAGTAGCCCCCACCAAAGAAGCTCCTCCTCACAATTTCCAACCAGTCCTTAAAACTCCCTTTCCAAAAAATAATGACCATAATAATGATAATGTATTTTTGATATAGACTACTAAGATTTTCTCAATCCTATATGATGTGAAAATAAAAGTAGCTTCAGAAAACATGACAATTTTTAATGATGTATAACACAATCCAAATACAACCTCTGTTCTTGACTTGAATATACAGCTTGCTGGCAAATCTGCTAGACTGCCATTCTGACCAGACACCCTCTGCTAAGCCCCTCCTATTTTCATGGCATGGGCCACTGCTAGTGTTGCAAACAGTAAAGAAGTGTATTAGCAAACAACGTGTGGCCATGGGGACACCTGGTGTGGACCTCCAGGCCTTCCACTTACTAACTGCACAATCTTGAAATATGAGGTAAACCTGATTAGTGTCTCCAGAATGGGATAATAGCAACCTGTCTGATGGGGTTGGAGGATCAGTGAGATAAAGAACACAAAATCTAAGTAAGACATGATGCTGTGTTCCTCTGAACTGGCAGTCTGATAGAGAACATTAGAAAATTAAGTGAAGTTCAAGTCCCTGTGGAGGTCCAAACATGGAAGGGCTTAGTCCTGCCTGAAGAGATTTCAAGGCACTTTCCTTAGGAATGTATATTTGAACTAAGTCTTTGGGATTGGGCAGAAGTTTTCTAGAAGGAGACAGAATAGCATATGTGGGAATGTTAGAAAGGATGATTTCAGGAAATAGGTAAGTCTATGTACATGATTGGTTTATAGAGTGCATTTTGAGGGATAGGAAGCATAATTATAAAAATGGGGATGGGAATAAGTATTCATTAGCATGAATCCTTTTGTTATTCTGTGCTGAAAGTGAAGGCCTTTCCACTGAACACACTGAGGGACCAATGGAGACCTTTATAGAGGAAAGAGATATGATCAGACTTGGATATAGAAAGCTCGCTATGGAAATACTGATTAAAGTGGGCTGAAACAGGGTCAGACTGAAGACAAAAAGATCCCAGTTAGAGGAGGTGTTGTAGGATCCAGTAAAGAAAGGCTGAGGCAGTGAGAATGGAGTGGGCATTACTGATTTGAATGATTCTAGGAAGAAAAGGGAAAACTTAGTGACTGATTGGATGGGGAAGGTAAAGGAGAATGAAGAGTCAAGAATGTCTCTCAGGTAACAAATCCTGGTGAATGGGTGAACATTGACGTTGATTTGTACATTGACCAAGAGAGAAAGAGAAGATGAGCAAATTTAAGACTAAGTAGATGTGGGACATAGTGAATGACATTTGAGACATGTTGAATTTAAAAGTATCTGCAAAAATCCAGATGGAAAAATTGACTATGTATATGTATGTCTCTAGTTCATAGGGTAAAAACTCAGGGGGAAAGAATCTGATTATGTGCAAGCTAGGAGTAGCTACTTAACATTAGGATATTTTTAGAAGGAGCTTGTTAATAGAAAATACCTTGATTATTTGCAGAAATTGATTTAGTTGCTTTGAGGACCATGTTTTTTTCCTCATTAAGCATGTTCTGTGTTTAGATCCATACATCCAACTGTGCTCAACAATATTATTGAGGCTGCAAACACAACTCAAGAACATTTCAGATATGGCATGTTCAAGTGAGATGACTCTGTACCATGGTGAAAAATATAGACAGTCAAATAAGACAATGTTCATGAAATTGCTTTGAAGTCACTCAATAAATGACAGTTTCTTCTCTCTTTATCAAGGGGCAGCTGACAATGATAGGATTAAAAGCTGAGGGGTTCACAGTCAGGCCCAGCACATTGTGTGACATACAGTTGTTATACAATTAATGTTTGGTGAATAAATTGCCGAATGAAGGTACACATTCATTAAAGAGAATAAACACTCTAACAGAACTCTAGGAGACTGAGATACTTTTTTTTTTCCTAGGTAGCAGTGATTTTCAAAGGCGGATCATTCAGATTATGCGACCTGGCCACAGTTCACGGGGTGACTACTAGGGAGGTTGAAATTAGGGACTTGAAATTTCCTTTCCTTCAAGGAGGAAACTAAATGTTCAAAGAACGAGTGGGTAAGGCTTCTTTTAAACCAGCAAAATGCTTCATCAGGCCATAAACCTGTGGTATAGTTTAGTGATTCTGTTTAAATAGATGCTTCCCATTGCCTTATGAGATCTGGAAAAGCCATAAAAATTCATGGCCTACTTGTGGCTGAGCTCTAATAAAGGAATAATCCGTGCTTTAAGTGAGGGGTAATGGGAGGTACAGTGGGAGATTTACTGGAGCAATAAGGGCTGCAGAAAGAGAGTAGGTTTTTCATGCCAATTACACTGACAGACTACAGAGCAAGACTTTCCTGACACACACTTGTAATCCTGTTCTGCTAAGTGACAAGATGGGGTTCTCAGTTCTTCCTTCTCCTGCACTTTCAGGAATCAAAGCCTTGGAGTTTTACTCAAGGCTCCTGTCACCAAAGTTAATAAACCTCCTGAGAGATTCCCATGGTACACCACTTGGTACAGTGGAAATAACATGGAATCTGGGTTAAGAAGAAATTCAGTTTTAATCCCAGCTCTGCCACTCATTAGGTAATTTTATGAATGCCTCTAATTATTTTTTCCCAATTATTCATTCCTGTTCATTGATATAACACTTGAGGTGCCTCTCTATGGAAGAAGCACATACACCTACCTGCTTAACTTCAAGCTTGGTCATATGGCTTGCTTTGGCCAATGGACTGTGAGTTGACATAACATGTGTCACAACACAGAAGAGCTTTAAGGGCCTTTGGTAGGTCAATCACTGTTCTTTTCTGTCTGTCATGAGAATGATAAATTCCAAATTAGGACTGTTTTTCAGGCTGGTTTCTAAAATAAAGATACATGGGGCAGAGCCACAGCCAACCTCAGACACTGTACTAGACTCATAATAAGAGCAAGAATTAAAGTCTTTTTGCTCCAAGACACTGAGACATTGGGGTTGTTTGTTACTGCAGTATAATACAGTGATAGCTGATACACTGAGCAATTCTGGAGAAACCACTTAAACTGACTGAGCTTTGTGTTTCCTAAAATGATGACAATACATCCAGTTGTGGGATTTTGTGAAGATCAAATGATATTTTGGCACTATGTATGACATAGAGAAGTTGTTCAATTAATGGTGGTTATTATTTCTAATTTGCTACTCAATCAGGATGATAAAAGAGGTGAAGTTGTTCTCTCAACATGTGCACTCTGGTTAGCTGTTTCAATAACTTGTTGCTGTGGAATCCCTGGGCCAGTGTGGCAATCAGTGGTAAATTGGACATTTCTGACACTCTCTTCCAGGACCAGGGAGAAAAAGTCTCTCAGATCTTTTCATTACAGCCTTCACAAGCTGTGAAAGAAATAGCAGCAGGCTCACTTTCACCCCATTACACGTCCAGTCAATGGAACGCTGCCTTTTCCTTACCTGGGGTGACAGTCAGGCAGCTAAAGGCTGGCTCCTATGGCCCTTTGCACATGGCCACATCACTATGTGAGCCAGAGAGACTGTGCTCATTGCAATCAGAGTAATACTATCTCACCCAGGCCCGGCCATTCATAGTTCACAAAGCTTCCATAGTTTTCATTTACGTTTTCACAACAGCTCTAAATGGCTGTCATTCATTCACTCATTTATTCAGAGTGCCAGCTGCATGGTCTTTGCCTTAGTGGAGGTAGGTATTATTGTATGATTGCCAATTTATTGACCAGTTATTGCATTTACTCAGCAAACACTATTTCGCAACTTGTTTGTGCTAGACACTGTTGCTGGGCTCTTTACAAGGCAATGAAAATACCAAAAGCCTGGTCCCTGTCCTCAAGGAATTGGAATTATAGTTACAAAGAGGATTTATATGCAGACATATAAATCATCATGTCTGAAAAGTTATAGCAGAAGTGCCACCCTAGAGATATGAAACAAATGTGTGGAAGCACAAAGAAGAGAGACACAAATCCTGCCTGGAGAATCAGAGAAGCCTGCCCATAGGCAGGTGTATCAGGGCTGTGTTTTAAGAAATGACTGGAATTGTAAAGCGGATGAAAGTAAGGCAGAAGGAACAGCAGTGGAAGAAATGCAGAGGCTGGGAAGAGTATTTGTGTATAGCAAGAGCCTACAGTTTCTTGGGGCAATAGGGAAAGACGAAAATCAATAGGAAAGTAGGTGCAAAGGAGTTTGTCTTTATTCTATAGGTAATGGTGAAGTTTCACATAAAGCGTTATAAGCAGAAGACTTTCATGGTCACATTTTTTTCAAAGAGATCACTCTGGCAACAATATAGAGAGTCTATTGGAAATAAGCAAGACCAGAATAAAAGAAACCATTCAAGAGGCTAATTTCCGAGTCCAGACTTCTGAAGTAAGTCATGGGAACTCACTTCAAAGTCTTGGATGCACTATTACTGCTAAGGACTTGCCTTTATAGGACATCACTCCTGTGTCACATCATCTCTGCCCTTCCTTTGGGAAAATAAAACACTTAACAAATGATCCATCCATTTCTTTAATTACATTCTTTTATCAGAAGGAAACCACTTCCCAGATTTCTCAGATATGCTCTCTAGATGGTGATCCCAAGATCGTGACCAGGGCTAGATTACCCATGGCAGACTAACATGTTCTCTGAGAACCAGAAAAGCAGGGATTTTTTTTTTTAATTAAAAAAGAGTATTCATTGACACATTTTAAAATCACATGGAAAAATCAGAACTATCAGAGCTTCACTGGACATGGATATATTTCTTTTATAGTTTGATTTTGTTTTTAATTATATATAATTTAAGGAACAGTGGTGTGAGTAAGATACTAATTTTTAGCACTTAAGTCTTCTGAAGTCCTGATCATGCCCTGACCACGCCCTCTTTTCTCTGACTACACTGCTGGTTGCCATTTCCTTCCTTGGAAACCCTTTTAGGAGTTTCTAGACACCAGCGAATGGGAGATGTGCAATGAGTTAAATTTATTATTCACAGCAATGCTGAGGATAGCCCCTCTGCCCTTAGTAAGGCTGCAGCAGGAAGACATGGTTAGTAACTCTCACAGGCTAATTTGGGTTTGAATCAAGTGTAAGTTTATTTGCACAACAGAATTGGAACCACAGTATATCAGACTCTGATTACTCAGCAGGAGTATTAAGTTGGGATCCTCTATGTTTTTGACACCTAAAGTTCTGGATGATTAATGCAAGGCAGTCTCCTTAAGCTACAGGCAAAGTACCCCATACTAGAGCAATTCCAACACTCTTCCAAGGGGTCCTGATTGAAGGTCTATCTATTCCAGGGGTAGTGAACTCTATAAAGAGAGGTTCAGAGGAATGAGCATTTCCAGTAACAAAATAAGTCGTTGCCGGTCCCAACATTTTTCCCAAACACTTGGCCAACCTAGGAGTCTGTACTCTACTATAGAACAGAAATTTTGAAGGCCTGTTCAGTGTGTCTAGGCCAGAAGAGTTCCAAATCACACTCTAAGATTTCTCTGCTAATTTAATCCTTATTCTCTGGTCACAAGTTTTGAGCTTTCCAGCAGGGTTATCTGAGATAACAAAGACAGATATTGAGTACTTGCTATGTGCCAAGCATATCCAGTGCTTTCCATGCATTCTCTCCTCATCCTTCTCACATCTATAAGGCTTAAACTATTATTATTATTGTTTCTACTTAGCAGATGAGGAAACCAAGATACAATGACCTTGGGTAACTAGGCCAAAGTCATACAGCAAGCAAGTTTCAGAGTCGTTGTTGAAACTTTGAAAGTCCAATTCCAAAGCCAACCCTCTTGAGCCTCCTGCAGATCTGTTTTTTTTTTTCTGCCTAAGAGTTAAACTCGCCCTTTTATTCCAATTTATGAGTATTTTTAAACTTCAATCTTCACCTTCAATTTGTTAGTGAGAAAATGGAGGTGACAGAGGTTAAGAGACTTGCCTCAGGTCACATAGCAAGGGGTGGCAGAATTGGAACTGGCATAAAAATTATTACCTCCTCAGTTTCTTAACTTGAACTCTTCACTTTAACCTCAACTAGGCCTCAGCTTATTTTATCCCCCCAAGGAGAATGAAAAAGGGTGGAACGAGGGAACAAAAACCATTTTTCAAGCTCTTTGTAAGCCTCAGGGAATCTGCTGGGTATTTTATATCCAATATTCATTGATTCAAGTGACAACCTGGTAAGGTTGGTAGTGTTGTTTCCATTTTTTAAATGAGAAAACAAAGGCTTAAAGAAAACCTCAGGCTTAAAACCCTGCCTGAGGTTACCTAGCTCATAAGCTATGAAGCTGTGACTCCAGACAAGGTCTGTGTGAATGTAACTCCCACGCTCCTCTGCCAAGAATTTAATAGTGGGATTGTTCCTTGAAGGTGTGGATTTTACTCCATACCCTCTTTTACTAGGTCCTCAATAGGATTAAGGAGTGAATGGGTCTTGAATCAACACAGGCAATCTTTCATCATAAGATCTAGGCCACTGTGATGCAAATTGAATTTTTAAGCAGTTTTCACCAAGGACCTGCGTCAAATGGCTTCTGATGTTCTGGGAAGATTCCTCTCCCTGCTTCTATTCCCTGACTGTTCTCACCTGGGCATAGCAATGAGAAGCCTCACAATTTATTTAAAGGTCACTCACAAGAGAGAACATCTTCTAGACCTTGGTTTGAAATGGCTGGGTGAGCCAGGTCATATTTTAGGTACAGTGAATGTGTTAAATTACTTCCCAAGTATTTGGGGTTTGATTCAGTACCAGGAGTCTCACCGGAAACCTTTCCCCCTAATGTTGAAATGTGTGTATACTACAGAGACAGTTTTTATGGTTTTGATGCCCTCACACAAATTGTCAACATACTGTGTCTTTTTTCTCAGCTCTTTGATGTACTCCAAGGGGTTCTCTTCCTTGAAGAAGAAGCCACAACTCCAAATGTGTTTAAAACAGAAGCCCCTAAACATTTGAAGTTCAGTTCAGAATTCCTAAGCAGAAACTTGGCAAGAAGTCCTAACTTAAAAAAAAAAAAAGGAAAGAAAAAGAAAGAAAAACTTCTCCCATTCTGAAATATCAAATGTATACTTCCCAATAGAAAACAGACTTCATATTCGTCTTATGCTGGTCTACCATTATTATTCATTGCTTTTTCCCTACAGAACATAGATTTTTCCATTCATTCAAAAGCACAGTAAGACCATTTAGATGTATTGTTCTCATCTCAAATTCAGCAAGCCTAAGTCTTAACCTCTAGTCTTTTCTCCGCCCGATGCCCTTTGCTTTCTTCTCTTTCTCTGCTGGCAGCACCAATCACACAGGCTCAAAACCTAGACAAGGACTCCCACAAGGCCAGGAAGCATGCCATAATTATCTTTATATTCTTAGTGCCTACAGCAGTTGCTGGTATGTTGAAGATGCTCAACAAGTATTTTTTTTCTAATAAATAGATTTAAAGGTCATCTTCTCGTCTTCTCTCTCCTCCATCCATGTATCAGATCTCTTCAAAACCTTGTTCATTCATGTTTGACAATATGACTACCCAAGGGCTAGGGATGACCCATTTGACCAGGAATGTAGCCTATTTAATATTTTTATCAAAAAAACCCAAACAAACAAACAAAAAGAACAATTCACATAAAATCAGCTGGAACAGAAGCTGGGGCCTGGTGCTTTCAACTCACTATGTATTTGAGTTCAGATAAGGGTAATTCTAACAGAAACAGACCAGGTATTGTCATGCAATCTAGATAAAATTTAATATATATATATTAAATTCATAATATCAAGATAAAATTTGAAGGCTCTCTTATCAAAGAATAAATATGAACTGTATCATTAGCCTAAACTTATTTAGAACCCATAAAGCTACAAAGTTCTTAACATGCTTTGTTCATGGAAACTACTTACTAAATCTTCCATATGTACTTGAATCTCATTTCAGTCATGTGTCCAAGCTAAACACAGACCATTAACCCTCTTTTAAGCTAAAATTTATTATAAATACAAAAGCATGGGGCTTCATTTAAATCTATTTCCGATTATGAGATCCTCTGTAGAAAAAAGAACACATACCTTTATTTTTTTCTTTAGTTATTTATCCCTCCCCCTTCCTTTAATATAGATCATTAATTCTATGAATACCACTCCAGTTCAGACCTTCCACTTCTACTAGATCAGAGGTTCTTAAGCTGAGATCTATAATATGGAGGAGAGACTGGATTTTTCACTAGAGATCAGGGCCTGGAAACAAGACAGTAACATTGATTACAAGCTGCTGTGAGTCTAGAGAAGCCCAGACACATTAAGAGAATAAGCAGATATTGAACGAAGACATGCAAAACTTACTATGCACCAGGCATGGTTCTAGACACTAGAGATAAAACCTTGAACAAAGACCCTGCTTTTCTGTAGCTTCCATTCTGCTGGAGGAAACAAATGGCTAGCAAACAAAAGAATACTTAGTATGTCAGATGGTTATGAATGCTATGGAGAAAAATGAGACAGGTAAGGGATCAGGAGTTCTGTAAAACTGTCACTTTAAATAGAGAAAGCTTTAGGGAAGGCTTTGCTGAGCAGAGATCTGATGGAAGTGAGGGAATGGGACATGATGTTGGCTGGAGAAGAGCACTCTAGGTGGAAAACAACTGAGTCAAATGCCCTAAGATAGGAAGAGACTTGGAACTGTTCCAGGAGCAGAAAGCAGGCCGTGTGATTGGAGCAGAGTGAGGAGGACCATGTAAAGCCTTGCACTGATGAAAGAGCTTAGGCTTTCACTCTGTATGAGCATGCATTGTAAAATACCAGTTTTCCCCTCATTCTATTCCACTGGCATAAACTGATTGCCCATCACATTCCACGAACTCTGCTAAGCTCTGGGAGCAAAGGCATTAATAGGATCCAGTTCCTCTTAAATAACAAAACAGAGATTTAGACAAACAAACCTAACACAATGTAGCAAGTGGGCAAGTACTACAAGACAGGAGCAGACTTCTGGGGAGCCAAGATCGCGCTCAGCTTCCAGGAGGAGGCAATCAGATACGTGGCTCGTGAGTTCTTTTATGACGGACCTTGAAGGATGGACTGGATTTGAATACAGAGATCTCTGAGCTGTAGAACTTTCTGAAAGCACAAGTTAAGGGGTGGGGACAACAATATGCTTGACATTTTCAGAGAATTGTGAGAGTTTACTGAGTTGGGATATACTAGAAGGTGAGTAATTGAAGATACATTTAGGCAAGAAGATTGAAATTAGATGTTTGAGTTTCATGGATGTAAGACTGAGAATTAGTGAATCTGTATTAGCTGTAGGGTACAATATACCTTCTACGTCATTTCTAGGTATGTATGTTTATATTCATATATATGAAAGAGTTTGTAAAAGTATCCAATGGGTATGTAGGAACCAAATTGAATTGTCTTTTGGCTACTCAATTAAAAATTTAAAATTGGATAGGCTCTTAGGGTTAATCCATTACAAACATGTTGCTCCTCCCTACAACACTGCGCTGATGAGGAAACTCCTAGAGGTTTAATAGGCAACAAAAGGCCATGCTATTAATTAAGTGGTGAGTCAGACTGATGTCCCATTATCTTTCGAACATCTCTCTCTGCCCACCTTGACCAGGTCTTTCTACTCCTCTACCAAAGTAAGTTGAGGAAGACTCTCAATTAATGCTTCAAATTCAGATCCTTGTCTATTTTCATTGTAATATACAGATGATATTAATAATTCAGTTGATATTCCTTCCCCATCTGGAGTGTAATCTACCGTCCCAGAATTCCTCTCATACTGTGAATAGGACATAGCTACATGGCTACAGGCAAAGTTTTTCAAGTATCTGAAATTAGGCCATCCTCCACGCCACCTCCTTCTCTGCAGGACAGAAAATATAGCTTACTCCACCAAGAGACAGTTACACCCACTGCACCATTAGAAATTTTTTCCCCCGTCATTTATTTTCCCAATAGTCTGCATGAGAAGATCCTGGCTTTTCTTTTTTTAATAATTGAGTTTAACAACCAGCTCAACTCACTTTTGGATTTTTCAAATTTACTTCTAATAGAAAGCAAAGTTGATAGAGAGCAAGAGGGGATAATACAACTTTGCCACAAGATACAATCTTAGCCCTCTCCATTCTTAAAAGACTCAAAAGTTCACTCTGATGGTAGTTTCTTTTGCTGTGCAGAAGCTCTTTAGTTTAATTAGATCCCATTTGTCAATTTTGGCTTTTGTTGCCGTTGCTTTTGGTGTTTTAGACATGAAGTCCTTGCCCATGCCTATGTCCTGAATGGTAATGCCTAGGTTTTCTTCTTAGAAAAATTCTTCTATGGCTTGAATTTCATTCAAATTCTGAAAATAACAAACTAGCTTCAAGACTCAACCTAGTCACTACTTCTTTCAGAAAATCCTTTGTGACCACACCCACCCACCCCAACTTAGGGCCACCTTGAAATCCCTACATGCCTTTAAGATAGCACTGATCATATTGTGTTCTGATAAATGCTTTACATGTCTCTTCTTTTTCACCAGGATCTTAGCACCCACCACAGTAGGTAGAAGGGAAGAAAGAAAGGAAAGAAGGGAGGAAGCAAAGGAGGAAGGGAGGGATGAAATGTTTACCATTTTCTAACCTAACTCAAGACACATTGTCTAGTAAATAATTTCTTTGCTACTAATTGGTTAAGAGTAATTTGAAGAGAAATAACTTTGGTGTCAATACTAGGATTCTATGTACACTGATGGTTTATGACAATACCAGGAAGATGATGTTCTAAGTTTAGACTAAAAATCTTAAGATATCAATTTACTATAACACACATTACACCTCAAGCCTGGAAAAATGAAGATAAATATCCCATGGATGTCCAACTGTTTTTACAAGGCATATACAGGCTGTTCTTGGTTTATGTACATTTGTGTTTTACATATTTGAAATACCACATAATTTTACTTAGACCTTTTAGTGAAATAATGTGGTGATGCAATGAAATGTGAGGCAAGTACCACGGTAGGTGGTCCCCCACAGTCTGGGAGCCTTAACTGCCAGGGAATGACAATGTCCAGTATCTATCCTTTACCCCCGTAGTTTCTCTAATGCCTTGTAAATGAAATGCATTTGTGCTGTTTTTGTGTTGTTCTGCATTGAAATTTTCTCTCTTTATATTAATTGCTTATGATTCTATAGCTACACAGATTAATGATGGCACTCACTTCACTGTTAACTATTTTCAATTTATTTAAGCATAGAAAGAAAATTTTAAGATTAAGTATAACCCATAGCCATCAACCCTGTGGCCACATTGCAGAAGCTGATTTATCATCTATAATTCTTTCTCTGTTCACTCTACCTCTCACTCTATATAATTATCAAATAAGTCTAACTTTGTGTAACTATAAATTAAATACAGACAGTGATATCCTCCAAAAGTGGCTAAATACCCTAACTTCCTTCCATGCCATTACTTGATTGAAAAATTATTTAAGATGTATTTATTTTTGTCTGGCATCTGTTTTAAAGACTTTAGCCACTAATTATACCAAGGAATGTCTTCACACTTGAGTTTTTGATCTCCAACACATAGGAGATTGGAATCATATATATACACTTGAAAAACATTAATTGATGACAAGCCTCACCCTGACCAAATGGCTTTAAAGATACTAACTATAAAACAATTAATATCAGAAGTTCAACTTAGGATATAAATTCTCATTTGTATTTTACTAGGACATTGAAAGGTTTCTGCAAATGAAGGTACAAAGAAGGCACGTCCCAGGCCAAAGTGCCTATGATGAAGGCAGCATAGGCTACACAAAGAAACAATGGAACTTAAATAATTTTGCAATTTAATCGATAAATATTTTTGAGCACTAATTATCTGCTGGAACACATGAATATATAAAATTATATAGTGATATATCTATAAATTTAGGGTATAATTATGAGATCTTTTAGAATAATTTAAAAGAAGGTATGGGAGATCCAAAGGAATGACTAACCACATATTTGAAGAGATGGACTTGTGCTGAACATCGTCCTCTAGGAAACTTTTGGTGGAAGCAGAAGCAGAATAATCAGGAACTTCTCACATTGACTGGGTTTACCCAAATTTTCTCTTTTTTCCATATAAAGTTTTAAGTTTCACATTAAGCCATACTTCTATTCTAATGGGAAGTATTAGACTTCCCATTATCCATGTTAAATTCCATCGATCCAGTTTGTTAATATTTTTTGATACCTACGTTTTTGTTATTGTTGTTTATCAGCCAACTGAAGAACCATGTGTTTTTTCCTATTGTGGTAAAATATGCATCACATGAAATTTGTCACCTTAACCATTTTTAAGTATACAGTTCAATGGCATGAAGTATATTCACGTTGTAGTGTGCCCATTACCACCATCCATCACCATAACTTTTGCATCATCCCAAACTGAAATTATATACCACTAAACACTAGCTTCCTATTCCCTCCTGTCTCCAGTCCCTGGAAATCATCTTTTTTTTTTCTCTGTCTTGCTCCCTCTTTTGTAAAGACTTTATTTCTTTAGAGCAGTTTTACGTTCACAGTAAAATTGGGAGGAAGGTACAGAGATTGCCCACATACCCTTGTCCCCACACATGCACAGTCTCCCCTATTATCAACATCCCCACCAGAGTGGCACATTTGTTAAAATTGATGAACCTATGGTAACCTACCATTATCAATGAAAGTCCATAATTTACATTTGGGTTCACGCTTGCTATTGTACATTCTATGGGTTTGGACAAATGTATAGTGATATGTATACATCAGTGTAGTGTCTATACAGAGTATTTTCACTGCCCTAAAAGCCGATACCTAATTTTGACATAAAACATATTCTTTATTCTTTCCTCCAGTTTCATGTCATCTGCATCCTTAACAAAAAGTATTTACCTAAGTCTGATAAAATTATTGGCCTGGGCAGGACCAAGGCCCTTAAGGTTTACTGAGTCCCCAGGAGTCTCCCCCCAGGAGCTATTGCAACACTCATTGGGTACCAACCATTATACATCCACCAAATAGAAAACTGTCAAGCCCTGTTTTCATCTTTGAGATTTTACAAAGCTGAAACATACTACTAGGTAAGAAATAGATTTCACCTAGCTCACATATACTACTCTTGTAACTATAGGATTTCATAAATGGCAAAGATTCTATTCACAAGATGAAATGAAGGTGATAGGTCTTAATTTGTTCTTAAGGATGGTGAGCTAACCCTCAAAGATCACCATATCTTTTTTAATTGCTCAAACATTTTCTTTTTTTATTTACCTATGTAAGAATCAAAAGCTTCTTCAAGTGTTGTAAAGCTTTTGGAAGTCAAGCTATTGGCTCGGCCACCTGCCAGCCATGGCTCTCCACACTCCTCAAACATGGCTGACAGTGCCACAGCCATCTAATCCACAGCCTCTCTCAGCTGTCAAGCAGTCCTGACATTCCATCTGGACAGAGGGCTCCATCTCCTTTACAGAAAGGTAACACTCCCTGGGAATCATGTTGCCTTGGATTTCCATATCCTCCCCTTCATGTTAGTTCTTCTCTTTCTTGCCTGTTTTTTTGCTGATCTGAGGAGAAGTTGAAAGAGGCATTTTATAATTTATTCAGTTGACAATGGACACCTTGCTCTTTAAGAAAAAACAAACAAAAGGCTGAGGCAAGAGAATCACTTGAACCCAGGAGGCTGAGGTTGCAGTGAGCCAAGATCGTGCCATTTTACTCCAGCCTGGGCAACATAGTGAGACTACGTCTCAAAACAAACAAAGAGAAGAATAAATGGCACCAAATGTAATGTAAGGCCCATCAACTCATGGAGCCTAGAGGAACTTATGTGAGTGAGAAGATAGAAAGGGGAACGTATTTTTATAGAGAGTACTTTTACTTGCAGGAAGTTCCCTCTATAGTTGGTGAACCTGTCAACGTAACAAGAAGGGTGGAGGTTGTCCCTCTCAAGATGATCTGAGGGACAATGGTGAGCAACCAGGTAGCTGACGCAGTATGAGGAGACTGTCTTCCATGCCACTGCCTCCTCAGAAGAGTCTGCCCAGTTCATCTGTCAGTTCAGCAGCGGCGCTGTCTGTGATGGTTAGACACCTGGCAGTAAGTCAATACGTTCCCCTTGAGACAAGGAAAATTCCGCAGGTCAGACTTCCTAAGCAAGTAGACTACAAAAAGCAGCGACTGCATACAAATGCTGTAGTAAATTAAGATAATGATATTGGCTGTTTATGGTAGATAAAACATAAATCTGTAATAGAAGCATCTAGGAGATCCCAGCACCCAGTGTATCAACATTAGAAAGAGCAGTTATGATTGCTGTCAAGGAAAAAAAAAATCCAGGGCCTCACTAACATTTAGAGATATAAAGCTTTCATATCCTTCAGCCTTCTTTCCTTTGTGATTTCCACAGGATTTTCATTTCCAGAGATATTATACTACTTGCTTTCAAAGGAATTCAATATTTTCATTCAGAAAAGTAATTTCACAGGAAAGTAACACAGAGTGATGTCCTGGGTATTCATTTTCAGAGCCAATCTTACGAAGTCAATTTGTGCTGCAAGGAGCTGGGGCGACATGAAAAGGTACAGATCCTGTGTATTTGGGTTTCTTCTTTCCCATTCCCCACTTGCAGGATGCTTGGACACCCCGTAAGCATTTGAAAAGAATTAGCTGGCGTTAAAAACAAAATACGCTGCCAACTCCCTTAATAACATCACCCGGTATAAACCAAAGACATGGCTCCTGAGCCCGGGACTAGATTGTGGCTTCATCCCTTCTGCCCTGTAGTAAAAGTCCTATTGCTGTAACCATCACAATCACTGTTTATTTTCTGCACGTTGCTTGAGAAATTGGAGGAGAAAGCAGCAAGTCTAAGGTGAAAGATGAGGAGATGAGTTACTTGCTTAGGTACTTCTGTGCAGATAAAAAGCTAATCCTGATAAAAACCAAAGCTGAAATCCTTCCAACCCACATAAAGTCAAGGTCAGACAACATTAGCCAATCAAGTCGGACGCTGACCGATTTTTTGTAGTGAACCAAAGACCGACAGAGAGACAGAGGTAGCCAGAGAAAGGATGCGAGGGGAAAGGAGTGGAGAAAGAAAGACGAAAGCACCCAGATAGAGATGCACAGATGGACTGACAGAGCGAAGGAGAGACAGAGATGGGGGTGCTGGGAAGAAGTAGCTCCTTTTTCTATTCCTGTTCCTCGACAAATTTCAGGATCAAAAGGCATAAAAAATCTTCAAGTTTTTCATCAGGCATTTGGGGTGACTGAAGAACAAGGTCCAGCTGCCAATGGGTGTTTTCCCTAGGGTTTCTGAATCAGCCACATGCCCTAACCTTGAGGACAACATTGTTTATTCCTGGTGGAAAGATAAGCCAGCCAGCCCCGGCCCCACCCCCCAAGCAAAGCAGAGTGGGCATTGCCGGTGAACAAAGAAAGAGTGCTGTACAGCAACAAGCATTTGGTTTTGATTAGAGGATATTCAGGGACTGTGCAAGTTCTATTAAAATAAGCACAAAACCATTTTAAAGGGCTTTTTCTTTTCTTTCTCTTTCCCCCCTCGGTTTATATTGTTAATCTTTCTTCCTGGACGGCTCCTCACAAATGCCTTTTGTTTTCTTGTGTGATTCTACGTGCCAGGACTCTAAGAAGGGAAGACGAGGTCCTGTTCTGGCATGCTTTCAAGTCTCTTCCATAGGAGATGAAGGCTTGTTGCTGTGCCTTCAAGGGTATAAATTTAGAGGCCGCCAAACCGTCCGGAGGTAATTCAAATGCTGGTAAATGTTGGAATCCACCCTGGCCCCTGCTCATGTGAATACCCTGGCACTAACCCCACTCAGAGGAAACGAAACCAATTTGGGAAAGCGAAGAGAGAATAAACATGCAATTAAAATGGCCACTTCTCCTGGTTTCTTCCTTTAGTTCTTTTTTTAACACTGCATCCCATTCTATAATCTGATGATGAAATGGGCCTGGTTAATTATAACAACATACAAAAGATCGCTGTCTTTTCCCCACAGTGACTATGCTAGCTTTGAATTTCTTTTTTTTTTTTTTTTTTTTTTTTTTTTTTTGGTGAGGGGTATGAGCAAGGGGGAGAGAGGTGGATAAACTTCAAGTAAAGCCGTCATTTTGGAAGAGCCACTATTTTTATACTGTTTGCAAACCCTTCACCAGAGTGAACATTACAGAAACGGCACTTCCCTTTCCATTTATCTATCTTCCTCCTTTATACATAGATAGACAAATAAAAATGAATCTTTCCAGAGGCAGCATGCATGCCACTTCTATATATTCTTCAGATGGCTTATTTTTATTCAGCTTAAAGCATAACCTATCATTTTTATTCAAGATTCCATCCAGCCTCTCTCTCTCTCTCCAAGCAAGTCTTCAAGAAGCCCTGCTGCCCTGCTTTGTTCCAGAGACTCTGCTAAAGGCCAAAAGATGGAGATAGCACACCCATCTGGTTTGTTTTCACATCCTCAGAGAAGGGGTTGAGAGAGCCCCCTCCAGTGGAAGGAACAAGGTGGTTGGGAATCAGCATTACCAATCTTCTCTTTGTTTGTTTGTGATTAGCTTCTTGTGCTCATCTCAGAAAGACTCTCAATATCCATGGGGAAATAATACCACAAAAGGAAGCTCACCCAGCAAATGGGAGAATGGTTGTCAGTACTTTGAAATCCTTACACTGAAAGATTCAATTTTGGTGTCAAAAAAAAATAAGCATCTCACTTCTCCCTTCATCCTTTTTTCCTATTCCCCTTTCCCCCTCTACTTAATTCTACACAGTGTGTGAATTTTATATGCATCAACCTGAAAGCATCTGCTAGAAAATAACAGCCAACCTGTATATGAAATAGGAATAGATTCCGTGTCAGAGCAAAATTAAGACCTTGACTCCTCATCGTTTTCATAATCTTAACATCATGTTTGGTGAATAAATACCACAGGAATACGAAATAGCAGTTGAGGAAAAAAATGAATATTGAAATTTTTAAAATGGCCAGTGTCCAAAATAGTAATATTCACAGGGAAGTGTTTTGACATCTGAGATCACCTCCATTTTCTTTACAGCTGAGCATGCTTGATTTGGTAGGACTGATTTGAACAGACACATTATTACAATGGATTTCAAATGGCTCTCCTCTTTTTTACCCCCTCAATTTCTACAATTACCCATCACTCCAATTTCAGAAGAAAAGCTTAAAGCACAAAATTTAAAGTCAGATGATCTGGGGCTAGAATCCTTGTTTTGTCACTCTCCAAATGAGTAGATTTGGGAACCTGAATTAATCATTCTGAGCTTCGGTTGACAGCTATAAAGTTGGGGAAAACTAACAGACCCATTCTTACAGAGTAGTAGTCAGTGTTTAATAATAATATATATTTTTAGATGACTTATAAAGTCATGATAATTATTATAGCTAATACTTATTGCACACTTAAAAATGTATCACTCATAGTTTTGACAGTTTCACACATATTAGCTTATTCACTATGAGATAGGGTTATTGGGAAAATTAAATAAGTTAATTCATGTAAATGAAGTAATACATTTAGGCCTAGCACATGGTAATGGAATTATTATTAGGCCTTTTACACAGATGAGGAAACTGAGGCAAAGGGAGGTTAAGTGACTTACTCAATATTTCAGATTTAGGAAACAGAAGAACCAATATTCTAACAGACCAGGCTGGCCCCAAAGCCTATAATTGTAATCACTGTACTATATGTTCAAGCTCTTTGAGCTCTTTATAAAGTATAAAATATAATATATAAATATATTTTATACATATGTGTGTATGCAAACACATACACAGTTAATTTCCCATATTAAAACATAAAATACTCAGATTAAGTTTCCACCACCCAGTCCAACCCCACAAGTAAGGAATGAACATTGCAACTGGGGACTGGCCTGATTTATATCCTGAAATCTTCATATTCTCATCTCAGTACCCTTCCTGCACATATTTTCCTTTCTGGCTGATGGGGGTTGTTCAGCTGGGCTTTGTGTGAGTTACAAAGCTGCAACAATTACATGAGGGAGTCCAGGAGCATGTTAACCACAAAAAAAACAGTTGTCATAAACACTGTGCACCTTATGCAGTGCTTCAGTCTTTACGTAAGATTAATTAAAGAGCAGATGTTCTGTCATACCCTGTGTTAGGTATGGTTATCTTTGAGATTCCAGCTTCTCCATTTGCTGGGTTTTAATTTGCATCATTATGCATTTTGAGCCTGGGGCACGAGTAGTCAAGTGGTAAACATTAGCTATACTGCACTGTATTTCCAAATGCACCTTCATTATTAGGCTGACTAATAGAATTCAATTCTATTTTCAGCCGAATCCTCTCAATTTTCATTTGCTTTTGACATGTTACATGGCAGAAGGAAAGAGAAGGGAAAATGAAGGAGAGAGAGGCAGCTACAGCACTCTTTGTGCATAGGCCTCCCATCAGCAAGAGAGCCCCCTCCTGATGGGTTTTGACCATGCACCAGCATCACCTTCCTTTTCCACATAGCTGCGACAATCCTAAAATTTATCCTCTCGTCCTCATGTTAGAGGTTGACACTCCAAATAGGGCAAGATGTCTTTGCTTTTGTTGTTAAAAATTGGAGGCACCTAAGTGTATTCTGATTTTCTAAAGGCAACTACTGAAAATTGATGTCAGAAAACTTTTCAGGCCATGATCAAAGTCTGATATGAATTAATTTGTCATTATAACACAGCCCCACTTGCCAGGCATTTCAGGCCAGGACTTGGGAGAGGCAGCAGATATCTGGGTTGACAATTTCATTTAAAGGACAGAAAGCTTTCTGCTTTCTTTTCATTGGTATCTTGATTTAATGAACACACAAACAGACCATCGCCATATGCTCCAAATACCAGCTTGCTGTTCTTCAAGAAGCAGCTTGGGAAAATGCCAAGGCAAGAAGCTTGGAAGAAACTTGAAAAGGCTTCAAGACATATCTTTGTAGCCTGGGATAGCAAATGCACCAGTGATTAATTACGCTGGGGTTGGACGTGAATAGGAATGTCAATAAGGCGTTCATAGCACTGCAACAGTGGGCATGTTGGCCTGATAATAGAATCCTTTCTGTTTTCATTTCCTGAGTTTCCTTTCTGTTGGTAACACATTCACATTCGGGTCAGAGATATAAGATGGCAATGTCATGCTGCTGCTCATTATAGAATCATTAGATCAGGTGCAACCACAACCAAGGAGGAGGTGTCCCTAGGAAACAGGAACTCCAGAATTTGTGCCAGAGAACTCTTATCTGAAGAGAAATCCATAACTGTCTCTTGTCGCAGAAATCCTCCACTATCTCACCGACTGATACTCAAGAGCAGTAAGGGGTAAGGGGGTGGCTTTCCTCTGTTGACAACATCTCATGTAGAATCTCCCCAGATGACTTTGAAAAATGACTCCCCTCCTTCAGAATCCAGAGTTAGAGTTTGTTGAGGTGTTTTGAGTAAGAAAAGTTACCTTATTCCATTTTCTCTCTTACAAGAAGAAGGTGAAGGAAGAATAGGAGAGGAAGAAGAAGAAAAAAGGATTTTTATTCAGAGCAGAACACTTAATTGGGTCTAATAATAGGGAAGCACTTGTGGAATTTCAATATCAGAATATAGAAAAGCTCATTTGAAAATGAGGATTTCAACTCAAATCTTGGGGCTTGTGTGATCTACTTCCCAATTCAACTTCTAGATTTCTTCCCTCCTACATTCCCTGATGTGATGATCAGCCCATGTGCATGTTGAATGGCTTTCCATCAACTACAAGTCATATTCCAGAATCCTTTGCCTTGCATAAGTGGTCCTTTATGACCAGCCCTATCTTACAGTTCTTGCCTCAGCTCCTACCCTTCCCCCTGCACACTCTGCATTCCTTTTATCATCCTACATAGAGAAAGCTAAAGGGTGCTGGCTCTTTGAACCTTTAGGCTTTTGCCTGTTTATTCTTTCTAACTGAAATTTCTTTCTTCACATTGTCTTTCTAGGATAAATTCTTCCTACATCTTTTACTGCTCTCCTGGGATCTTGTCCCATATTTTTCACTAACACTTCTTTTGAATGTCCCAGCACCACCTAAAACCAAAAACATTTAGAATTTAATTAATCTTCCCTCCCCAAAATCCTCATTTGTCATTTCAGGGCATATGAGGACCATAAGTCCACTAACATTAAAAATACTGATTTTATATTTGACTGTTCCTTTCTTTCTAACTTCCTGATAACCACTGATAATTTCTGATGAATCAACCTCTAGAATCACTACCCTGTCCAAAATCTATATGTTCTACCTAAATTATCTCCTTGGTTATCTCTCTCTATATAGTCATTTCTTTACTCCAGAAATTTGTTTTATCCCAGTCTTTTGTGACTATCACTTCATTGATCTCCTTTCTTTCCAAACTTTCATTCCTTCTATCCATCTTACCTTGAGTCATAGCATTAATTTGTGATACTTAAAATATTCATTCATTCAGTCTTTCCTTTGATATATATGAGCATATGTGCCTGGTACCAGGAAGAACACCCCTTAAGAATATAATTCCCGTATACACATTTACAATGTCAATCAGTGACTTAAGCTTTGTCTCTTTTAAATAAATGGATATTAAGTAAATGACTGAATTAATAAATGAATAAACAGGGCTTATAGTTTAGTAACACTGCAAGCTAAGTAATAATAAAAATGCTTCTGGGCCAGGTGTGGTGGCTCACACCTGTAATCCCAGCAGTTTGGGAGGCAGAGGTGGGCAGATCACAAGGTCAGGAGATTGAGACCATCCTGGCTAACATGGTGAAACCCCGTCTCTACTAAAAATACAAAAAATTAGCCAGACATGACGGCACACACCGGTAGTCCCAGCTACTCTGGAGGCTGAGGCAGGAGAATGGCATGAACCTGGGAGGCGGAGCTTGCAGTGAGCCGAGATCATGCCACTGCACTCCAGCCTCGGCCACAGAGCAAGACTCCATCTCAAAAAAAAAAAAAAAAAAATGCTTCTATGAAATACTTCAAGATAATCTGTAATTTATTGCCAGATGAACAATATCAACATTCTGGACTAATATAATCAGAGAAACTTCTAGAGAAGGTAAGGGCGAAGAAAGAAAACTAATATTTATTGAACAGATATTACATACACAGCCCTATGCTAGGTGAATTACATACATTCTTTTGTGTAATCACTACAACAGCCCTATGAATGAGCCCATTTTATAGATGTACCAACAGAGGCTCATGAGTTAAATAACTGCCCAAGGTCATTTAGGTGGAAAGGGTTAGAACTGAGGTTTGAAACAAGGAGAATGTGGTCCTAATGTCTACATCCTTTCACTGGGCCAAGCTGGAAAAGACAAGGTAGATGTAAAAGCATTTCAAAGGAAGACTAGATAGGTTGTGGTTACTGGTTTTACATGGTAGATCTCCATGAAGGAGGGCTCAAAACTTACCTTCAAATTTTGAATCAGAATGTCTGGGAACAAAATTAGAAGTGTATCATAATATCACTTTGTACCCTATCATTTTATAAACAACTATAATTTGTCAATTTACAATTCAAAAAATAAGAATGTTATAACAAAGAGAAAAAATGAAAATATAAAGACTATAAAAATGACACACAAAATCAATGAAATTAAGAATTGGTTTTCTTAAAAGATAAAATTGACAAACCCTTAATTACACTAAGAAAAATGATACATGACAAATAATATCAAAAATGAAAGAGGAGACTTATAACTGATAATATAGAAATACAAAGGATCATGAGAGGTTACCATAAGCAGTTATACACAAACAAATTGGGCAATCTAAAACTGATGAGTAAATTCTTTGAAACATATAGTTTACTAAGACTGAATCATGAAGAAATCAGAAATCTAAACAGATCAATGACTAGCAAGGGAATTAAGTCAGTAACTTAAAGTATTCCATCAAGAAAAAGCCCAGGACCTGATGGCTTGAGCCCTTATCAAATATTTAAAGAACTAATATCAATCCTTCTCAAACTCTTCCAAAAAATTAAAGAGAAGGGAATACTTCTAAACTCATTTTATGATGGCTGCATTACTCTGACACTAAAGCCAGACAAAGAGACTACCAAAAAAGAAAATTATAGGCCAATATCCCTGAAGAACATAGATACAAAAATTATCAGCAAAATACTAGCAAACCATGGTCAACAGTACATTAAAATGATCATTCACCACGACCAAGTGGGATTTATCCCTGAGATGCAAGGATGGTTCAATATACAAATCAATACAGGTGATTTCCATATTCACAGAACGAAGAAGAAAAACCATATGATCATCTCAGTAGATGTATAAAAAGCATCTGACAAAATTCAACACCTTTTCATGATAAAAACTCACAATAAATTAAGTATAGAGGGAATGTTCCTCAACCAAACAAATGACATATATTACAAGCCCACAGCTAACATCATACTCAATGGTGAAAAACTGAAGGCTTTTCCTCTAAGATCAGGAACAAGATAAGGATGCCACTCTTACCACTTCTATTCAACATAGTACCAGAAGTCCTAGTCAGAGCAATTAGGCAAGAGAAAAAAATAAAACATCCAAATGTGAAAGGAAGAAGTGAATTGTATCTGTTTGCTGATAATATAATCTTACATATAGAAATCCCTGAAGATTCCATCAAAAAAACTATTATAACTGATAAACCCAAATTCAGTAAAGTTGCAGGATTAAAAAAAAGTGTGAAAGGTATATCACTAATGAGTTTATTTACAGACATATTGAGTTCAATCAGAAATATCTGCCTTTAACTCTAGGTTCCTTTTATTTGGATAAGTTCTTCATGAGTTCCTCAATGTCAGCAGGATATTAGATATAGATTACTCTAAAAAACTGAAAAATGACCCTCAAACAATGAACTTACCTTTTAAGATGTTTTGGTATGCCTGGTTAGACCATGGTCTGATGTAATCAATTTGGTTGGTAAGAACAGATTTAAGGAGGTTAAAGGTGGTATAGTAAGAACACTCCGAGTTGGGCAGAGCTTCATGTAGCACTTGGGACAATGTTCCATCCAGTGCCCAAACTCTGTGTCAGATACCTCAAGACTGCTCTTCCAGATGGTGCTCATCACTTGCAGTGACAAGAATCTCATCTCATTGTTAGAATGATCTAATAGTGAGAGAATTGCTTTTTCTTTTGGAATCAAAATCCAACCTTTTATTACATTGATCTACTAGTCCTAGCTCTGCTGGCCCTTTGAAACATGATAGCCCTTCCTGTATTTCATGACAACATTTGTATTTCCCTTCAGTCTTTTCTTTTCCATGCTACAATAATGGGCCTTGTTCATAGGGAGAGAAAACAATCTTTAATCCACACAGTAAGTTTATGTGTTTATCTGACCACTTACCTCCATTTTCCAAAAGAGAATATTAAGTATTAATCAGGATTAGCAATATGCCCAAACTCACAAAGCCTACAGAGGGATAAGAATATAAACTCAGACCTGTATTATAGCCAAAACCCTTTTCTTTCCATTATGAATTGCTGTCTTCAAATTTTCCATTAAATATTTATTTACAGATAGTATATCCATTAAATATTTATTTACAGATAGTATATTTCCCCCTTTAAAATTTTTTAAGGGACTCGAAAATGAGCAAATATAAAAATTGAACAGTCAAAATTTATATAACAAGATGACAAAAACAGCATAGGAGATCATAGCTGGGCATGGTGGCTCATACCTGTGATCCCAGCACTTTGGGAGGCTGAGGCGGGAGGATTGCTTAAGTCCAGGAGTTAGAGACCACCAGCCTGGGCAACAAAGTGAGATTCTGTCTCTTAAAAAAAAAAAAGAAAATATCATTATACCTGACACCAACTGTTAGGAAAGTATCTAAGCATTACATTTAGCTGTGAGCTTCCTGGCACTCAAAGCAAGACAAAAATTAAAATTATAGTTTCATGGTTCTTGCTGTAGGATAAAAGGAAATTAATCAGCACATGAGAAGAGAGAAATGTTTTCCTGGCTCTGCATTTTAAGAAGAACTCCAAACAAGCATTTATTTATCACAGAGTTATAAGAAGAACTCATCACCTAGATGTTGAGTAAAACAACAGATGATGTCTTCAGTGTGGCTTTACAGAAGATAAAGCAACAGTCCTCACTTAACTATGTCTTATGGAGATTCCTCGTTAAAGCAAAGGGAAAAAATACTAAATTGGTACTAATTGAAGGCAATTCTAAAATGCTAATATACAAATACAAAACTAATATAATACAAAGCAAATATAACCCACAAGTATTGCATATACATTTTCTTGGGCCTCTGTTACTTATCTAGGCTGAGTTAGAAACTTGGAAAGGCTAGCTCTGCTCTGGCCAGGACCTACATAAAAGAAATGTCCTCACATACATGCTTTGATAATCTCATTTTCTGCTGAGTTCTATGTTTCCATTACCTGGCCTTTTATTTTTGGATGTCCAAATGGTTTCTTCCTGTTCCTTCTCTATCATGTTTTCTGAATTCTCAATTCCAACTCTTGGTGCAGCATTTCTAAGAATGCTTCTTCCCCAAAAGACCGTTTTACTTGATGAGCCGTAGGATCTTCCTTCCTCAGTTTCTGCTCCAGCCAGGGGCACAGACAGCCCAATAGGCACACAGACAGCAAATCCCTTAGAGGCTTTCTCAAAAAAGCAATCAACTCAACTGTGCTCTGGGAGAGAACTACAGCAATCAATCGCAGACTGAGCTTTCTGGCAGCACCAAGGGTACAGTTATTCTATGTGGTTAAACGAAGCAAATTCCAACGGCTTTTGATATGAGACATTCCAGTGGCACAATTGACATTCTGTTGGGGTAATTGTGGAATCTGACTTATACTTTCCCAGATGACGTGGGTGAGGTAGGTTATGAAAGTGCTTGCAGTTACAGTTAGATTTTTCTCAAAAAGAAGATTCAGAACTGCTTAAGAGCTCAGATGAATCTTATTGAGTTCAGAACATGGGAGAGATTTTCCCCCTCAGTTGCCTATGTTTGTTTGTTTTTAGTTGACAAACATTAACAAAACTCTAAATAAAATTAGAAATTTACCTACAGTCCACCATCCACCCATCCCCATCAAACTGACTTCCTTTTCCTGTGTTCTGTTTTAGCCTTTGCCTACGTGCAGATATAATTCTTAAGTTACAATTATTGCATAGGCATACTTTTATATTTTGTTTTTTTCCCCATTTGCCTTCCAAAACACATTTAAACACATTTCATATTACATGAGTTACTACATGGTTTCCACAATTATCATATTTGATGGAGCCACACTTCCATCAAGCATTATGATTTAATTAACCATTTGACTACATAGCCATTTAATTTGTTTGAATTATTTGGATTATTTCCACCTGACAAGGGCAAATAAGTTTTTTAAACCAAACCATATAAATGTCTTATAAAACTGGTTTTTGCAATGATAGTTTCCATTTCCACACCCACCAGCAACATATGAAAAAATCATCTTCACCACAGCTATACTAACATTGGGGATTTGTATGTTTTCACATATTAATGTAGAATGGTACACATACATGTATTTAGTGAATTGGCCTAGAAATTCACAAAAATTGTCATAATAATAAATGTAAAAGATAGCGATGTTGCCAGTCAAACATCCCTCTCCCTTCTTCCTTGCTGATGGAGGCTAGATTTTGTCCTGGTTTCCATCTGTCCTCCATGTGACTCAGAAATAAATACTGATTAGTTAAGACCAATATTGAAAATCCCATTTCCTTGACCATGAGACTTGAAAAGAGGTCATACAGATCTTCTAGGAAGGAAGGAAGGAAGAAGGGAGATGGATGTTTGGTAATATCACTATCTTGTTTTACACTTATTATTGTGACAATTGTTATGAATTTCTAGGCCACTTCACTAACTACATGTACATGTGCCATTCTACATTAAAACATGAAAAAAATACAAATCCCCAAAGTTAGTATAGCTGTGGTGAAGAGGACTTTTTCATATGTTGCTGATGGGTATGGAAATGGAAACTATCATTACAAAAATCATTTTTATAAAAAAATCAGTTTTCTTTGCTTCTAAAAAAGACACAGACCAACTGAACATAACTCCATACTCTATATCAAACCGATAACATAGTCACAATCATGTCAATATATTGTATTTATCTGATTATATATCTTTAGTGATATTCTAAAACCAAAAAGAACTACAAAGAAATCTTAAAAAAATTCACTCAGTAGAATTTTTTAACAGCATTGTTGGTATTATAATTTTTAAGTTAATTTACGTGTATTATAATTTGTTGCATATATATTTATATTTACTATAAGAAAACATACAAACATAAAGTAAAATAAGACAGCATAATGCTAGATAGATTTAAATTGAAAATATCAAAACAAACTTATGATTATATAGATTACACTAACACATGAGGGGACTTCGAAATCTTACAGAAAATGGAATTAAAAGATAAAAATTTAAAATACAAACTTTATTTCTCAACATAAGCTCCATCAAGTTCAAGATACTTTTGTAACCAATGAAACCAGCCATTTAGTCCATTTCTAAAGAATTGAGGGTCTTATGTATTTAATCAACTCAATGCAGTCTTTTTTACATTGTTAACTGAAGGAAAATGAGTACCCCCTTAAAGGTTTTTCTAAGGTTAGGAAACAAAAAGAAGTCAGAAGAATTCAAATCAGGACTGCACAGTGGATGCTTAGTGATTTCTCATCAAAACTCTTACCCTGTGTAATGAGAGGAATGAGCAGGACCATTGTTGTGGTGAGGGACTCTTTAAAAAGCTTCCCTGGGCATTTTCTGCTAAAGCTTTGGTTAACTTTCTCAAATCACTCTCGTAATAAGTAGATGTTATAATCATTTGGCCCTCCAGAAAGTCAACAAGCAAAATACCTTGACCATCCCCAAAAACTGTTGTCATGACCTTTGCCCTTGACCAGTCACTTTTGCTTTTATTGGACCACTTCCTCCTCTTGGTAGCCATTGCTTTGATTGTGCTTTGTATTCATAATTGTACTGATAAAGCCATGTTTCATCTCCTGTTACAATTCTTCAAAGAAATGCTTCAGGAGCTTCATCTCACTTAAAATTTCCATTGAAAGCTCTGCGCTTGTCTGCAGCCAACCTGAGTATAATGGTTTTGGCACACATTGAGGGGAAAGCTTACTCAACTTTAATTTTCCATCAGAATTGTGACTTAACTAATTGAGATGTCTACGGTGTTGGCTATTGTTTGTACCATTAATCATTGGTCCTCTTCAATTAGGGCATGAACAAGATAATTTTCTCCCTTGCAAATTGATATGGATGGCCTGCTACTGCAGGCTTCATCTTCAACATTGTCTCATTTCTTCTTAAAACAAGTCATCCATTTGTAAACTGCTCATTTATTTGGGACATTGCTCCCAGCAACCTTTTGTAAAGCAACCATGATTTCATATTCTTCCACCCAGGCTTCATCATAAATTTAATGTTTGTTTTGCTTGAATTTTAGCAGAATTTATGTTACTCTAATAGGTGCTCTCTTCAACTGCCATCTCAGCCTTCTGAGTACTTCAAACTAGATCTTATTCATGCATGTTATAACAAGTTGTATGAGTTTATTTTGGTGCAAAATTTTAAAATCCATGCATAGTTTTTCATAATACACATTTTCCAAGAACTTTTTGAAGGCCTATAACATATGCCAGCTCTTTCCACTAACAGAGGTTAGAATGACTGATAAGCCACCATCAATAAGCACACCTAGTATATATCTTGATTTCTAATTGCCAGTCCCCACTTACGGGAATAACACCTTGTTGAAAAAAAATGCCTAATTCTATGTCTAGGACAGAAAAGTACAAAGGTTAATCCTAGATACTTTATTTTGCCAGAAAACTAAAGGAATAACATCAAAAGAGCACCAAAGCCAGCTCAAAGGTGTTGCCACTGGCAAAACTGGGGTCAATTTAAGCATCCAAAAGAGCAGTCACTATAATCAACCATAACATTTTATTCAAAATAAATGTATGAATCCATAGGAACATTTAAGTAAAAAGTGAAGTTTTTTTTTTTTTTTTTTTTTTTTTTTGAGACGGAGTCTCGCTCTGTCGCCCAGGCGGGAGTGCTGTGGCGCGATCTCCGCTCACTGCAAGCTCCGCCTTCCGGGTTCACGCCATTCTCCTGCCTCAGCCTCCCGCGTAGCTGGGACTACAGGCGCCCGCCACCACGCCCGGCTAATTTTTTGTGTTTTTTAGTAGAGACGGGGTTTCACTGTGTTAGCCAGGATGGTCTTGATCTCCTGACCTCGTGATCCGCCCGCCTCGGCCTCCCAAAGTGCTGGGATTACAGGCGTGAGCCACCGCGCCTGGCCGAAGTTATCTTTTTTAAAGAAAATTACAAATAAATAAATGTGAAAAAGATAGAATGTGAATAAATAAATGTGAAAAATAAATGTGAAAAAGGCAGAATTAGAACAATATTTTGTAACCCCCAATGTAATAATCAATCCAAGTAAGTATCATCAATTGATGCTAAAATCACTAGCTGAGGAACAGCATGCTGGCAAATTATCACGTCCTCCCCCAGATTGATTACTGAACTTTGAAGAGAATATATGCTTTTATAATGGATATATGACTATCACCAGCTTAATCAAATAATCAAACTTATTAATAGTAGGACATTCATTGTACCCTGATATGCTGTGATGTGCAGTGCATGGCATGACCTATGAAGTTATCTTGCCAAAAATAATCTAAATCTACTCAAGCACTAGGCCTAGTGTCTAGATATACAATGAATGGAGGAAAAATTTAGATGATACCACAAGAAAACAATCAGATAAATTCAGTATGTGGTACATATTGCAAGGCCTGAACTGTTCAAAAGCATCAATGTCACTAAAATAAAAAGGTATGGGGACTGTTCTAGATAAAAAGAGACTAGAGCGTAAACAAATACAATGGATGCATAATCACTGGATCTTAGACTTTTAAAAAATAAATATAAAAGATATTTGGGAGCTAATGGAGGATTTGAATATACACTAGATTTGAAATGATATTATGAAATTATGGTTAATCTCCTGAAGTCTGATGATTGTACTGTCTTTAAGTATGATATTGTAATTCTTTGGTGATGCATGTCAAAGTATTTAGAAGAAAGTGTCATGGTGTCAGTAACTTAATTTCAAATGATTTGGCAAAAAAAACTCCAAAACTACTTTTTTCCAATTTTTCTGAATGCCTAAAATTTTTTTTAAATAAAACATTTGTGAAATAAAAGAGATGAATGAAAAGAAACAGACCTTGTTCCTTCACTAGATGTTACCATTTAGTTGTCATAATCAGGAATATACTGATATACCAAGAAGAGAACATAATCAAAGATGAAAATAACTGGGTCCTTAATGATTTCTTGTGCCATAGAATTAACCAGTGCCATAGAATTAACCAATTCTAGAGCTATCCTACCCTATGATTTCTTATTATATAAAATTATAAATCATCCATGTTTTTAAAACCAGTTAAGGTTTTATAACTTGCAGACAACAGTATTCTAACTAATAAAATATGTGGCAGGCAACAAAAGCTTACTATGGGGCAGCCACCATGATAAATAAAGTTATATACAGTACCTACTTTCCACATTTTATGTCCACATGAAGTAAATACCAGCCAAGTAAGTCTTCCTGTAAATACACAGCCACTTTGTAATCCAGTTAAATCTCAAACCTAAGCATCCAGCAATGCCTTTCCACTAAGATCCAGACACTTACATTCAACTGTCTACTTAACATCTTCATTTGGGTCTTGAAACGGCTTTTTGAGTTTAAATTAACATGGCCTAAACAATATTCCTGAATTTCTTAGCAAAGCATGCTTCTCTACTCAATTGCTCAAGACTAAATCATAGAGATACCCCTTGAGTTCTGTATTTGACCCCCATACACACCCCACATCTAATCTATAAGCAATTTAGGTATATTTTCTCTGCCTCCAAAATATACCTAAAATCTGTTTCCCTTTTTCTATCTCAACTGCTACAATCTTGATAGAAACTTCACTCTCTCCTACTTGTACAACTACAGTAAGCTCCTAACTGTCCGCCTACATTCAAATTGGGCTCCCTGCATTCTATGTACAACAGCCAGAGTAACCTTTCTCTACCATAAAATGATTTGCTAATTTCACTGCTGTAATTAAGTCCCCTAAGGACTTACCACTGAATCTAAACTCACCACAATTAGTAAGACCCTACAAAATCTCTCCCCTACCTTTCTATTCAAATTCATTTGGAACCACTCTTTCCCAAGCTCACCATACACTAGCACAAATACCTTCTCTCTTTCTCAAATACAACAAGCCCATCCTCATTCTAAGGGCCTTGACACTTAGTCTTCTCTCTACCCGAAACACTCTGCTTCCAGATACTGCATTGCTGGATCCTCTGGGGCATTCACGTCTTAGCTCAAGTGTCTACCCAGAGAGGCCTTTCCCAATGACCCAACATACTTGATACAAAGTGTTCATAGTCACTCAGAATTGCCTTTGTGAAAGTTAATATTTCAAATGATCTTGTTTATTTAGTTGTTGTCTTCCTTCCTGTGATGTAAATTACATGAAAACTGGAATATGGTTTGTCTTGTTCACTACTTAATCCTTTGTTCTGAGATTAGTGCCTGGCACATAGTAAGGTGTTCAGTAAATATTTGTTAAATGAATGAATGAATAAAATGTTCAATGGCTCATGACAATTATACTTTGCCATCTCTCCATAAAATAGTATTTATCTACCATATTGATCTAGGTTGCTTTTCCTTGAAAGCATGCATATACTATAGCTTCTCAAAGTCCCTCTGGCAGTCAGAATCAGAAAAGGCCACACTAACTCAAGCCAATATAGAATTCAGATATTAGTTGGAATACATAGTGGGTTATCTATGCTAGAAACTCTTTCATATTGCTGAATTTTATTATGTTTCTAGTCAACAAACATACCTAAATCTATTTTACATGAGCTGATGCCAGGGCAAATCCACTCATCCTATTTTTGTGAAATTGACTTGAAGCTAAAATCTGGAGCTTATTTATGGTTGTTAATTTTTTTTGTTGGATTGCCAGCCAATATTCCTGTCTGCTGAGCCATTTAAACTGTCTTACATCTATGGGCTTAGAATCCTTTCCAACACTGTATGATATGCAGTTTTGATAAGCATACATGCTTTGTCTTTATCCATATCACTGATAAAAATGCTGAAAAGACAGGAAAAAAGACAAAAATTTGTTTCACTCTACTATAGATATATTATCAAATGATTATCAACGAGTCATCAATCTTTGGTTAAACAGACTTACAAATCTACCTAAAGTCCATTCCATATACATTCATACTTGGTCTGCTGCATTGCTGAAATGGAGAGATGAATTCCCTAAAAACTTCCATTTAACTTCACCTAAATGGCCTTGTCCATTTAAATCCCTACCATCCTACACTCAAAGATCTCACTGTCAAATAGGGAGCATCATAACGTAAACAAAACTGTAATGCAGCTTGAGAAATTCAGTGGTAAAGGTAAGTATGAGATTCTTTATCAACACAAAAGAGATACCTAATCCATATTAGGAGACTCCAGGCAGACTTCTTAAGCTGAGTAGTGAATGGTAAGATTCAGCCAAGTAGAAGAGTAGAGGAAGAACATCCCAAGAGAGGAAAATCAAGTTTTTAAAAGATTCTTTAAAATAAGAACACGAGAAAGTTCAACACCTTTGGGAAACCAGAATACATCAGCATGGCCAGGACTAAAGTGGGTAGGAGGAGGGGGTTCTATATGCTGTCAGAGATCATACATTGAAGCCATGGTGTTTGGGCTTTCTTCTGTGGAATATGGAATGACATCCAAGTGTTTAATTGGAGGGAGGGGAATGACATGAACAGATTTACATTTTAGAAAGCTTATTCTTATTATAGGGTAGAAAATGGTTTAAAGGTAGAGAGAGAAGACCTAAAATAAGAGAGAAAGCTGCTTCACCTATCAATATGATAAGAAGAACCAGATAAAGCCAATGTACAGGGATGGAAAGGAGAAAAGTAAAATGAAGTAAAAGTGATGTAACACAGAAGTCGATGGAAGACACAAAGAATAACAGAGAAAGAGAGAAATTGTGTATGCCTTATCAGGTTTAGGTATAGGTGACAAAGTGGATGGTGTTAGTATAACCCTAAAAGGGAAAGGGGGAAAGATGGTGTGTACAATTTTGACTTCTTCATTTGTAGGATTCTTTTGTCCAACCACAGGAAGATGTTCAAGGGAGTTCAATATTTATCTCTATTGTTTCAGAACTGAATTCATAAACATTCAGGTAGTGGTTGTGGCCATGAAAATGGATGGAATTGTATTTAAAGTTATGCCTCAAACTTTAATGTATATAAGAAGCACCTGAGTGATAAATAAAATTGGAGCCTTCCAGGTCCCACTTCCTGAGATGCTGATTCTGAAGGTGTGGAATTGGACAGGAATTTACATTTTAGCTAGCACTCCTGAGAATTCTGATATCTACTGTTTTCAGAGCACACTTTAAGAAATACTTGTTTAAAAGGAAGTGAGGAGAAGAAGACCAGTGAGGAAACAAATAAATTGAGAAGGAGCTAAAGAAGTAAGAGAAAATCTACAGTGGTGGAGTTAAGGGAGAACTCAATTTTCAGTGAGATAGAGTGTTAAGGGCATTACATGCTACAGAGAGATCAAGTGATGTAAGTCTCAAAAAGATCCATTACCCCAAGAGAATTGCTGTCATCTTCTTTAGTTTGGCTTGGTTTGCTCTTAGCAAAACTACACTGGCTTTTTAAGCACCACATTCTTCTCTAGCATTATTAACCCGCAGGTTAATTATCTGTTTTATGTTTTGCTGAGGAACAATAGCAAACTTAACTTTTCCCTCACTTCTAGAATTTACATTATTCTTTCCATAAGAAAGCAAAACAATTACAAGTTTCCTTAGTTTACTAATATCTCTAGGAATCTCTTTTGGCAATCACCAGAACTAATCTGATGATGATTCCTTACATTAGAATCTGGGATAAAAATCAAAATTCTAAGAAGTAATTAAATGACCTAGGTATATTTAGGCCAATGAATTGGTAACTCAGAGGAGATATAGTAATTATCTTCAAACATGGCCAGAATGGCTATCAAATGAAAGACTCAACTTGTTCCATAAGGCAGCAAGAGAAGAATTAGGAGCCATGAAGAAGAAACCATCAAGTAGGTACTCTGCCAAGTTTTCAATTTACCCTTCCAATGTATCTTCATCTTCATCAGAACTTACCTCTTAAACTAAGGAAGAATTTTCCTTCTTCTGCCTAAGGCATTTAGAGAGATTAGACATTTTCTTTGGTTCCCATTCTTTCTTGCTTCCACAGGGAGTACCTTCCACCCATTATGCTTCTTATCCCAGATTTCTTCAGCAAAGTAACATATTCGAGTATTTCCTGTCCTCAGATTCTCTCACCTACCTAGCCCATGATCTATCTTCTCCCTTTCCTCCAAGTTTCCTAAATTAGTTGTCCTCCCATCCTTAAGATATTTGAAAACTCAATTTTGCCCTTATCACTTTACTGAAATTGTCTTTTCCAGGTAACCAATGTCCTCATAGAGCTAAATTTTAAAAAGTAGAAGATCTCAAGAACTTACGGACTTCACAGCATCTGGAACATTTGATCACCTTTCCCCTCCTTTGTATACTTTGGTGCATACAGTCCAGGATGTTTATGTATTCCTGGTGAGATACTCCATTATCATTAAAGCTATACTTTATTTATATGCATCTTTTCTTGTGTTTCTAATAGTTTTGCTTTCTATATGTCAATTTAGACACACATAAAATTTTGGGACAGTTGAATTATCATTATAGTTTATATAGTTCATAAAGAAAATATATGCTTATTGTCCTATTTAATGTTAAATAGTAATAATACAGTAACCCTTACTGAGTTTTATTACTACTTATATATCTTTCCCTATAGTCATCAGGTTTTTCTTTTTTGTATCTTGTAGATAATAGCTTGGATTTCAAAGACTGTTTTAAAATTATATAAGTTTAACACATGTATGTGATCATAAGCAGATATGTTTACTATTTGTGATATTAATTTTCTGTGCTTTCTGTCATTTCAAAAATTTTGTTTTATCAGTTATGATAAATTATGCTGCAATAATAAATAACTAAGTACTTATGCAAAGCCACCCAGGGACGAGGCCCTCTTCAGAGTGGCTGTGTGTTGGCTTAGCATTCCAGAGTGCATCAATCTTATTATCTCCCTTTATTAACAAAGGTATTCACAGCTGCCAAGGTAGGGAAGGGAGAGCTGGAGAGTAGAGCACTGAAAATTAAGTACTTCTTCCAGAAAATGACACTAGTAACTTCCACTCACATTTGTTGGCCAAAGCAATTAGCATGGGCACATATAACTTCCAGAACAAATGTTCTCTGTAGCCGGAAGTAGAGAAAAATCAGAAGTCAACAAAGAGCAGTAATCACTCCCACAATTTCTTTTGCCATACTATTGTTTATATTTTCTTTCTCCACCACCCCCTACTCAAATCCCCTGTTTTTTGGAAGATGAACATCCAATTTTAAGTTATATCAGTTGTAATTTTTAAATTGCATAAAAATTTTGCCCACACCTGGAATCCCAGCACTTTGGGAGGCCAAGGCAGGAGGATCACATTTGATCAGGAGTTTGAGACCAGCCTGGCCAACATGGTGAAACCCCGTCTCTACTAAAAATATGAAAATTAGCTGGATGTAGTGGTGCATGCCTGTAGCCCCAGCTACTCAGGAGGCTGAGGCAGGAGAATTGCTTGAACCCAGGAGGTGGAGGTTGTAGTGAACCAAGATCGTGCCACTGCACTCCAGCCTGGGTGACAGAGGGAGACTCTGTCTCAAAAAATAAAAGTAAAAATAAAAATTTGTTTTGTTAATATTGCTCTTTCAGCATTAAGAATAAAACACATACCACATGCACATAGACAGACAGACGTATGCACTCCGTATATGATGAGGAAATTGGCATAATATGGCATCCTTTTCCTTGTCAAAACTTATTTTAGTAGGATGTAGAACTCTTGCCCTAGTCTACTATCATTATGTTACTGTCATTATTTTTACTCTGTGTATTTGCCCTTTCAAGAATCATTTAAGATATTTACATTAAATTTTTTCTTTCACCTTTATTTTGAGGTGTGATTTAAGTCAAGATTTATGTTTAAATTATTTTAATTTAATCTGCCAGTCCATTCAATCTATGACTTCTCTTTTAATAAGCTCTTTATCTTTATTCATCTCAGAGATATCTGAATTATTTATCCATGTATTTCTTCAAAAAAGATAAGTGAGAGAAGTATTTTCTGTGTCCTTTGCTGTTTGGTGATGTCTTTCTACAGCTTTCATGCCAGTGTGATAACTTGTCTGAGGCCATAAACTTTCCTTTCATAATTGCATAGATGTTTCTCCACTGTTACAAGAGACAGTGTCTTGGGACAGCCTGGTATTTGTTTTGTTTTGGGTGATCTTTCATTTTGCATAAATATTTTTATGTTTTTTCTCCTCACCTGAAATTTTAAAACATTACAAGAATGTGCTTGCATATTAGTTTCTTTTCATTAACTGCCTGATTTTGATCCCGGGCAGGCATCAGCAAACATTTTCTGTAAAGAGCCAGATAATGAGTATTTTAGGCTTTCAGGTTCATATGGCCTGTTACAACTATTCAATTCTTCAATTCCAGAGCCTTTCGCACCACCACCACTGTCTTCTGGCTAGGATTGCTAGAGGAATCAACAAATTGGAGAAGAGCATGTGGAAATAAGGCTTGGGGAAGAAATATTTGTTATCGCAACCTTTAGATGACACTAAAATCTAGGAGCTGATGGCTGAGCAGGCACTTAAGTCACAGAATGAGGGAAGGGCATCCAAACGTGTTTGAAGAATCAAAGGGCTACAGCAAGCTCCAGAGATAATCCAGATAAGCATGAATTTGAGGGTGGAAAGCAGCAGGACAAATACATAATCAAGTGGTCCTGCAGGGACATCTGGGACAAGTGTGCTTAGATAAGGCTGATTTTTATTCAGTCACCTATGAGACCTACCTGTGTTTCAACCTTAAAGGTATCCATGAAACTGGCATCCATCAATGGCCCCACCTCAAAGACTTTCAATGACTCCGTATAATTTATAAGATAAAGTTCAAGTAGCTCAGCATGGAATAAAGGCCCTAAAATCTGATCCCTACTATTTTGTGCATAACTAAATGCCTGCCTTTCTCTTTCCTCCACACATCCTATATTCCATTAAATGTTCCACCATTTCCTTAATGTGCCACACTCTTTGACAACTCCATGCCTTTTTCTTAAAATGTTTCTTGTTCCTCTGTCTGGAAAAAAAATCTGTTTATCATTCAACATTCAGGTTTAATGCCTCCTTGTATATGAAATTCTTCCCCAATATACTCAACTGTGTAGAAACAAAACAAAACAAAATGCACTCTTAGTATTACTCTGGAATTCCATCACCTTATTTTCATCTGAATTCACTCTTTTACGACCATACTTCTAAATAATGGTATGCCCCTAAATCTTTCTAGTATTCCTGCAAAGCCAATTCATTTTAGTATTGCATAACTGACCACCTAAATACAAAAAAGACATGTATATGTGAGCATGCCTAATTGGTTATGTGTTAATTGTTGCTCACATCTCAGGAGATAGTCCTGGGTTGATAAGCTCATTGTCTACGATCCATGACTCTATGACTTGAGCAAGGAAAGGGAAGAGGAAGCTATTTTTATTTCAGGCGTTCCCATTTCCCATGGTTTTTGAGACCTGTCTAACTCGTGGTTTTCTACTGAGAAACCTCAATCATAGTCAGCAGCTGCCTCCATCTATTCTCAGCAACATGTTTGAAAATGCAGTGAGCCAATGTACTGTATTGAACACCTCTTATGCAGCGCTTCAAATTCTCTAGGGCTTTCTTCTTTTTCTAGCAACTACTTTATCAATCAGTTTCCATGAAGGTTTCAACCAGCTTCCCCATGGTAGAACCTGACATCATTTTGCCCCTCTCACTTGCTGCCCTGGATTCTCATACACAGTGTTTTGGGACTCATGGGAACCCACGTGTTGCTCATGTATGTACAAACCAGACTGTGGGACAATTAGTTAATACCCCTTTGGGCCATTCTTAACTAATGGGAATGGGAATGGGAATGATGAATAAATGTTCCTCCCTTTATTCCCCTGAGTAGATGGTTCTCCAACAGATTTAATAATAATAAGGCTTCTCAGAAGAACCTACATTATCAAGCAGTCAATTACAGTGCTGGCCAAATCAATGACATATCCTACTATGGTTTTTCCCTTCTCTCATGTTTTACATGCTGTACTCCTCCCTACTGCTCGCTGTAGTCACATTATCTAAGAGTTTCAGAGACAAATGCAACTTCAGTTATAAAACCATTGTTTCTTAAAACAAATACCAATATTTTATATGTATACTGGAAAGTCATTTAGAAACAAAAAAATGAGAGTCAAGAAAGCTGAGTGCTAGTCCAGCTTTGGACAAGTTTTGTCAACTTGGGCAAATCTTTTCATATTCCTTGGCCTCTGTCTCCTTATCTACAAAATTAGAGAGAAGGTCTGTACCAGATGATAGTTGTTCATGTTTCCGACTGGACACACATAAAACTCTAGGAGATATTATGGCTATAAGGAAAATTTTTGTTTGTTCTCTGCCTCCAAAAATAAAGATTATGTAATTATATTAATACATATGTAATCCATATTGTCTTCTACTTATAGAAGACAAAATCAAAACATAATTTTATTATTATTATTAGCAATCATTTTTTAATAAAACAGAAAAGTTTGACTTATAGCTCTACCTTTAGCTAATTATTTAACCTTAGGCCAATTGCTTAACAATTCTGTTTCAGTTTCTTCATCTATAAAATTGGAATAATAACAACTTTTTGGAAGAAATATTAACAATAATATATGCAAAACACATACCAGAGTGCTGGTATAGAGTATACACTAAAAAACAGTCACAGTTTTAATTACTGTTTATTTTTTATTTGAAACAACCTGCTTAAAATATCAGTCATTGCATTGATCATAGGCATTAATTTATATACGCATTTTTCTATTTTATTTGATGCAAAATCTGCTGGACTATATAAACTATAAAATAGTAGTATGAATCACACATGCCTCTTTGACTAAAAATGTACCATGACCCAACTGCAAAAATTATTACATAAATGGATATTTTGAGAATCACTGAAATAGTATAACACACACAGAATAATAATGAATGAATAATGGGAAAGACAAAAATGAACACACAAGGAATGTGAACCATGAAAGAAGGCAAACAAGAAAGGGACTCTACCATTACCCCGACATTCTGCCAAGAGGTAATTTATAAACTATGGTGCTAGCATGGGGAACCTGACAATCTTGTTAACCTGAGGAGCCAGACATCAAGGTTCAGGAAAAAAGAGGCAAGTATATTTTCAGGTAGAGTTTCACCAAGAAGGGACCTATTGAGGGCATTAATTCCATAAGTCTTCATATTGGTGCCCTTGAGTTTTTAGATAAATATCTATGTATGTGTAAAAATGAAATACCACAAGGCCAGAAAAGAATGGCTTCTAAGGAAAGAACAATTACTGGGAAGTTTTAAGACAAATAGTTGCTGAAGCTTACACAGAGAAATGAATTAAGTTATCTCCAGTCAGAATAGAAAGACCTCATCAAATACACAGGACATTCAGTTGAAATGCCAGAAGGCTCACACATTAAAAGTAAAGCTAAATGAGCCCTAGAATAAAGGCTGCTCTCTAGATGTACACTAGAATTGCTTAAAAATAAACTTTAAGAGCATCAAACTAATCCATAAGAACTTAGCTGCTTATCAAAAAATGATAAGATTCCTTAGAGGAAAATACAAAATGCAGCACAAAACAATGCAAAATTCACAATATCTACTAACTAATAAAAAACTTCTAGGCATATGAAGAAGCATGAATATGTGACACAAAACAAGAAAACCTACAACTGTTAGAGATAATTCAATTTGTAGATAAGGGTATTCAATTAGTTTAAATATTCTCCATGTGTTTGATGTAGAAAATATATAAACATATAAACATATATATATATATATATATATATATATATATATATATATATATATATATATGGAGTCTTGCTCTGTCACCCAGGCTGGAGTGCAGTGGCATGATTTCTGTTCACTGCAACCTCCACCTCCTGGGTTCAAGCGATTCTCCTGCCTCAGCCTCCCAAGTGGCTGGGACTACAGGTGCATGCCACCACGCACAGCTATAACATATATATTTTTAATTAAATTTAAAGAAATAAAAATTTGACAGGTTATTGTTTAACGTGCATGTTGTTTCACTTTGGTATGATTAAAAGTTCTGGAGGGAATGGGGTGATGATTGCCCAATAAAGTCAGTGTACTAAATCACACTGAACTATACACCTGAAAATTGCTAAAATGGCACATTTGATGTACATTTTGTAATTATAAAAAAAGCAAAAAAGTAATGGAAGGAATAAAGCACATTAGATACTGAAGAAGAAAAGATCAGTGAACTTGAAGACATATTGACAGAATTCATTCAAAATGAAGCACTCAGAGGAAAAAGAATGAAATTAATAAAGTTTCATTAGCTATTGGAATAATACAGAGAAATCAAACTATGTGTTATTCAAGTTCCAGTAGGAGAGTAGGACATAAAAATACTGGAAGGAATAATGTACAAATATATTCCAAATTTGATTAAAGCAGTGCACCTACTCATCCAAATGTGCAATGAGAATCAGGAAAAAAGAAATACATACATATACAGATTCACCCGCAGGCACGTCATAATTGAATTGTAAAAACAAAATAAAGAGGGAAACAAACCTTAAAAGCAACTAGAAAAAAAGCATACCTTATGTAAAAAGGAATAAAGATAATTAACACATATTTTTCATTAGAAACCGTGGAAAGCAAAACACAATGGAACATCTTTAAAGCCCTAAAAAGAAAAATAATTGTCAATCTAGAATTCCATAAGAAATAGAAAGATTCTTTAAAAATAAAGGCTAAGTAAAAACTTTTTTCATATGAACAAAAGCTAACATAATTAATTTGAAGCAAATTTGAGCTAAATGCTTAAAAACAACTTTAGACAAAAAAATGATTCTAGACAAAAATTTGAATGTGCACAAAGAGATGAGAATCACCTGAAATAGAGAAAATATATGGGTAAATATAGAAGACTTTTTTCTAATAAAAATGTTTTAAAACATAATTGACCATGTAAAACAAAAAAAACTATTATGGGTGTCATAAAATATACATGAGTAAAATGTATGACACAAATTGCACAAAGAGAAATAAAAGTTAAGTTGTAAAAGTCTTCCTTCAGTTGTGATGTGCTATCTTATTATTAAATGATAGTTTGGTGATAGGAAATTATCCAGTTTGAGAACAGAAAGAAAAAAAGAATTAAGAAAAATTAACAGAGCCTCTAAGACTTTAGCAAATCCATCAAATATACAAATTTATATGTAATGGGGGAGATCCAAACTTCAACATACTATGGAGCACATACAACAGTCACCAAGATCAACCATAATCTGGACTATTAAATAAGCTGAAATAAATTTATAAGGTTTATTCTTTTTTTTTTTTTTTTTTTGAGACGGAGTCTCGCTCTGTCGCCCAGGCTGGAGTGCAGTGGCGGGATCTCGGCTCACTGCAAGCTCCGCCTCCCGGGTTCACGCCATTCTCCTGCCTCAGCCTCCCAAGTAGCTGGGACTACAGGCGCCCGCCACTACGCCCGGCTAATTTTTTGTATTTTTAGTAGAGACGGGGTTTCACCATTTTAGCCGGGATGGTCTCGATCTCCTGACCTCGTGATCCGCCCGCCTCGGCCTCCCAAAGTGCTGGGATTACAGGCGTGAGCCACCGCGCCCGGCCAAGGTTTATTCTTAAAGATTATGTCCTCTGGTACTCAGTACTAAGTAGAAATTATTAAAAAATATCTGAAAATATTACAAATTATTGACAAACTATATACTTTCAAATAATACTTAGGTCAAGGATGAAAGTATGAGAAAAAACTTAAAATATTTTGAACTAAGAAAAATGAATGAAAAGTATGGTAAAAGAAAAAGTTGTGGTGGTAAAGCATTTTAAAGTGGGAAATTATACCTTTAGATGTTTATATTGGGAAAAAATGATCTAAACAAATGATCTTCAACAAATGATCTAAACTTTTACCACAAAAAACTAGTAAAAGAAAAACAAATTAAACCAAGAATAGGGGTCCCAAGATGGCTGAATAGGAACAGCTCCAGTCTACAGCTCCCAGTGTGAGCGATGCAGAAGTCAGGTGATTTCTGCATTTCCAACTGAGGTACCAGGTTCATCTCACTAGGGCTTGTGGGACAGTGGGGGCAGGACAGTGGGTGCAGCCCACCGAGTGTGACTCAAAGCAGGGCGAAGCATCTCCTCACCCAGGAAGCACAAGGGGTCAGGGAATTCCCTTTCCTAGCCAAGGGAAGGGGTGATGGACAGCACCTAGAAAATCAGGTCACTCCCACCCTAATACTGCGCTTTTCCAACTGTCTTAGCAAATGGCACACCAGGAGATTATATCCTGTGCCTGGCTTGGAGGGTCCCACGATCACGGAGCCTCGCTCATGGTTAGCACAGCAGTCTGAGATCGAACTGCAAGGCGGCCGTGAGGCTGGGAGAGAGGCGCGTGCCATTGCTGAGGCTTGAGTAGGTAAACAAAGTGGCCGGGAAACTGGAACTGGGTGGAGCCCACCACAGCTCAAAGAGGCCTGCCTGCCTCTGTAGACTCCACCTCTTGGGGCAGGGCATAGCCAAACAAAAGGCAGCAGAAACCTCTGCAGACTTAAATGTCCCTGTCTGACAGCTTTGAAGAGAGTAGTGGTTCTCCCAGCATGGAGTTTGAGATCTGAGAAAGGACAGACTGCCTCCTCAAGTGGGTCCCTGACCTCCGAGTAGCCTAACTGAGAGGCACCTCCAAGTAGGGGCAGACTGACACGTCACGCGGCCAGGTATCCCTCTGAGACGAAGCTTCCAGAGGAATGATCAGGCAGCAACATTTGCTGTTCAGCAATATTCGCTGTTCTGCAGCCTCCGCTGCTGATACCCAGGCAAACAGCATCAGGAGTGGACCTCCAGCAAATTCCAACAAACCTGCAGCTGAGGGTCCTGACTGTTAGAAGGAAAACTAACAAACAGAAAGGACATCCACACCAAAACCCCATCTGTATGTCACCATCATCAAAGACCAAAGGTAGATAAAACCACAAAGATGGGGAAAAAACAGAGCAGAAAAGCTGAAAATTCTGAAAATGAGAGTACCTCTCCCCCCGACAAAGGAATGCAGCTCCTCACCAGCAATGGAACAAAGCTGGACGGAGAATGACTTTGACGAGTTGAGAGAAGAAGGTTTCAGACAATCAAACTTCTCCAAGCTAAAGGAGGATGTTTGAACCCATCGTAAAGAAGCTAAAAACCTTGAAAAAAGATTAGATGAATGGCTAACTAGAATAACAGTGTAGAGAAGTCCTTAAATGACCTGATGGAGCTGAAAACCATGGCACAAGAACTATGTGATGAATGTACAAGCTTCAGTAGCCGATTTGATCAACGGGAAGAAAGGCTATCAGTGATGGAAGATCAAATAAATGACATGAAGCGAGAAGAGAAGTTTACAAAGAACAGAGTAAAAGGAAATGAACAAAGCCTCCAAGAAATATGGGACTATGTGAAAAGACCAAATCTACGTCTGATTGGTGTACCTGAAAGTGACGGGGAGAATGGAACCAAGTTGGAAAACACTCTGCAGGATATTATCCAGGAGAACTTCCCCAACCTAGCAAGGCAGGCCAACATTCAAATTCAGGAAATACAGAGAATGCCACAAAGATACTCCTTAAGAAGAGCAACTCCAAGACACATAATTGTCAGATTCACCAACGTTGAAATGAAGGAAAAAATGTTAAGGGCAGCCACAGAGAAAGGTAGGGTTACCTACAAAGGGAAGCCCATCAGACTAACAGCAGATCTCTTGGCAGAAACTCTACAAGCCAGAAGAGAGTGGGGGCCAATTTCTTAAAGAAAAGAATTTTCAACCCAGAATTTCATATCCAGCCAAACTAAACTTCATAAGTGAAGGAGAAATAAAATCCTTTACAGACAAGTAAATGCTGAGAGATTTTGTCACCACCAGGCCTGCCCTAAAAGAGCTCCTGAAGGAAGCACTAAACATGGAAAGGAACAACCAGTACCAGCCACTGCAAAAACATGCCAAATGGTAAAGACCATCAATGCTAGGAAGAAACTGCATCAACTAACAAGCAAAATAACCAGCTAACATCATAATGACAGGATCAAATTCACACATAACAATATTAACCTTAAATGTAAATGGGCTTAAATGCTTCAATTAAAAGACACAGACTGGCAAATTGGATAAAGAGTCAAGACCCATCAGTGTGCTGTATTCAGTAGACCCATTTCACGTGCAGAGACACACATAGGCTCAAAATAAAGGGATGAAGGAAGATTTACCAAGCAAATGGAAAACAAAAAAAGGCAGGGGTTGCAATCCTAGTCTCTGATAAAACAGACTTTAAACCAACAAAGATCAAAAGAGACAAAGAAGGCCATTACATAATGGTAAAGGGATCAATTCAACAAGAAGAGCTGACGATCCTAAATATATATGCACCCAATACAGGAGCACCCAGATTCATAAAGCAAGTCCTTAGAGATCTACAAAGAGACTTAGACTCCCACACAATAATAATGGGAGATTTTAACACCCCACTGTCAACATTAGACAGATCAATGAGACAGAAAGTTAACAAGGATATCCAGGAATTGAACTCAGCTCTGCACCAAGTGGACCTAATAGACATCTACAGAACTCTCCACCCCAAATCAACAGAATATACATTCTTCTCAGCACCACACTGTAATTATTCCAAAATTGACCACATAGTTGGAAGTAAAGCACTCCTCAGCAAACGTAAAAGAACAGAAATTATAACAAACTGTCTCTCAGACCACAGTGCAATCAAACTAAAACTCAGGATTAAGAAACTCACTCAAAACCGCTCAACTACATGGAAACTGAACAACTTGCTCCTGAATGACTACTGGGTACATAATGAAACGAAGGCAGAAATAAAGATGTTATTTGAAACCAATAAGAACAAAGACACAACATACCAGAATCTCTGGGACACATTTAAAGCAGTGTGTAGAGGGAAATTTATAGCACTAAATGCCCACAAGAGAAAGCAGGAAAGATCTAAAATTGACACCCTAACATCACAATGGAAAGAACTAGAGAAGAGCAAACACATTCAAAAGCTAGCAGAAGGCAAGAAATAACTAAGATCAGAGCAGAACTGAAGGAGATAGAGACACAAAAAACTTTCAAAAATTGACAAATGGGATCTAATTAAACTAAAGAGCTTCTGCACAGCAAAAGAAGCAACCATCAGAGTGAACAGGCAACCTACAGAATGGGAGAAAATTTTTGCAATCTACTCATCTGACAAAGGGCTAATATCCAGAATCTACAAAGAACTCAAACAAATCTACAGGAAAAAGACAAACAACCCCATCAAAAAGTGGGCAAAGGATATGAACAGACTCTTCTCGAAAGAAGACCTCTATACAGCCAACAGACGTATGAAAAAATGCTCATCATCACTGGCCATCAGAGAAATGCAAATCAAAACCACAATGAGATACCATCTCACACCAGCTAGAATGGCAATCATTAAAAAGTCAGGAAACAACAAGTGCTGGAGAGGATGTGGAGAAATAGGAACACTTTCACACTGTTGGTGGGACTGTAAACTAGTTCAAACGTTGTGGAAGACAGTGTGGCGATTCCTCAAGGATCTAGAACTAGAAATACCATTTGACCCAGTGATCCCATTACTGGGTATATACCCAAAGGATTATAAATCATGCTGCTACAAAGACACATGCACACGTATGTTTATTGAGGCACTATTCACAATAGCAAAGACTTGGAACGAACCCAAATGTCCATCAGTGATAGACTGGATTAAGAAAATGTGGCACATATACACCATGGAATACTATGCAGCCATAAAAAAGGATGAGTTCATGTCCTTTGAAGGGACATGGATGAAGCTAGAAACCATCATTCTCAGCAAACCATCACAAGGACAAAAAACCAAACACCGCATGTTCTCACTCATAGGTGGGAATTGAACAATGAGAACACTTGGACTCAGGAAGGGGAACATCACACACCGGGGCCTGTTGTAGGGTGGGGGAGTGGGGAGGGATAGCATTAGGAGATATACCTAATGTAAATGACGAGTTAATGGGTGCAGCACACAAACATGGCACATGTATACATATGTAACAAACCTGCACATTGTGCACATGTACCCTCGAACTTAAAGTATAATTTAAAAAAAAGAAAGATAAAAAAATCAGAATAAATAGGAAGAAGATACTAATAAAGAATGGAAATCAACAAACTAGAAAACAGAAAAAATAATAGGGAAAAGTTCATAAAACTGAGAGCTAGATCTTTGAAACAATTACCAAAATTAATAAATTTCTAGTTAAACTGACCAAAAAAAAACAAAAGAAGATACATATTAATCAAGAATAAGAGAGCATATTCTTTTTTCCAAAGACATCCCTGGAATGCAGGCATTCTAAAATTTCAATCTAGATGAAATGGATAAACTCCTTGAAAGATGAAATTATCAAAACTGACTAAAGGAGATATATGTTATCTGAATAGCCTTATATGTATTATAATTTTTTAATTTAAAAGCTCACGAATAAAAATTAAAGTCCAGATGGCTCCACTTATGGATTCTATAAAACATGGTTTAACTGGAGAAGGGAACATTCCCAACTCATTAGTTACTCAGAATTAACTTGGTATAGAAACCAGACAGTGATATTACAAGAAAGGAAAACTACTGACCACTATCCCTCATAAAATTGATACAAAAATTCTTGTTAAAATGACAACTAAAATCCTTAAGTAAATAAAAATATAATACACTAAACAGTGGATTTTTTTTCCCAGGAATGCAAGATTGGTTTAACCTGATAAACAATATAATTTACTATATTAATATCCTAAAAATTAAAGATAAAACTATAATTCTCTATGTAGAAAAAACATTTGAAAAAATTTAATACCCCTTCATGGTTTAAAACTGAGCAACTTGTCTATAAACCTCAATGCAAAAAAGGGCCATGTTGAAAAACTCAGAACCAACATCATGTTTAATGGTGAAACTTTAGGTCAAGAACAAGGCAAAGACTCTCAGTTGTATTCAAAATTGTATGGGAGGCCCTAATCTATTCAATGAAACAACAGGGAGAAATAAAAGACACATAAATATGAAAGTAAGATTTAAAAACTCTCTTTATCTGCAAGTAATAGAATTTTGTACATAGAAAATCATAATCTCTAAAATCTATACTAATGAATGAGTTTAACAAGGTTGCAGAATGCATGGGCAACATATAAAAATCAATTATAAATGGCCAGGCGCGGTGGTGCACGCCTGTAATCCCAGCACTTTGGGAGGCCGAGGTGGGTGGATCACCTGAGGTCAGGAGTTCAAGACAGGCCTGGCCAACATGGTGAAATGCTGTCTCTACTAAAAATACAAAAAAAATAGCTGGACATGGTAGCATACACCTGTAATCCCAGCTACTCGGGAGGCTGAGATGGGAGACTCACTTGAACCCGGAAGGCAGAGGTTGCAGTGAGCCAAGATAGCGCCATTGCACTCCAGCCCAAGTGACACAGTGAGACTCTATCTCAAAAAAAAAAAAAAAAATCAATTATACTTCTGTATGTAGTAATGAACAACTGGAAATGGAAATTTATGTCATTTACAATAGCATCCAAAAATATGTCATTCTTAAGGGTAAATTTAACAAAATACCTAGATTTATACTAGTCATAGACCTCTACACTGTAAACTAAAAAATTTACTGAAATTGAGAGAGATATATCTTTATATACATATCTTCTTAATTTCTTAATATATAGTAATTAATGTATAATTTTATACATATATTTCATTTCTTAATTTCAATAAATTTGTTAGTTTTCAGTATAGGGTATGATACAGATATATATTTCATCATAATGTACGTATCATGTTCATGAATTTAACATTCAATATTGTTGAGATGGCCCTTCTTGCCAAATTGACTTATAGAATTAATGCAATCAAAAATAAAAATTCCAGTTGATTTGTTTATAAAAATTGACAAGTGGATTCTATGATGATATGAAAATGCAAAAGACCTAAAATAGCCCAAACAATTTGGGAAAAAAAAGTTACAAGAGTTCTACTACTTGTTTTCAAACCTTAGTATAAAGCTACCATAAATTCTACAGTAACTGACATAGAATTACACATGTAGAAAAATTGAACCAAATACAGAATTCAAATAGAGCCACATTCTTATGATCAATTGGTTTTAACAAAGGTGTCATGAAATTGATAGAGATATAATAGTCTTTATAATAAATGGTGCTAGAACAAGTAAGTATCCATATAGAAAAAATCTGCTTCAACTCTTACTGCACATTATACTTAAAAATTAATTTGAGAATATCATAAACCTGAAGGTCAAAGGTAAAACAGGATTTCTAGAAGAAAACATAGGAGATTGTCAAGACTTTGGGGTGGGCAAGGATTTCTTAAGTACTACATGAGAGAAGAGAACCATAAAAGCAAAATTTATCAATAAAACTTCATCAAAATTAAAACTTTTTTCCTTCTGAAATCTTTGTTAGGAAAATATAAAGGTGACCGACAGATTAGAAGAAAATATTCATGGTTTGAATATCTGCCAAAGGCTTTTTCAATCCAGAATATATGAAGAATGCTTACAACTCAATAAAAAGAAGACAAATACAAACAACCCAATTAAAAATAGGCAAAATATCAAAACACACACTTTCCAGAAGAACACAGACAATAAAGCATATGAAACATAAATCATAAATCACCTGACAAATGCCAATTAAAACCACAAGATCCCACTACACACCCATTAAAACTGCCTAAAATTTTAAATACTGAAAATACCAAGTGTTCATAGGGATGTGGAGTAACTGCAACCCCAATATATTGCTGGTGGGAATGTAAAATGTGAAATGGCATAATCATTTTACAAAATGATTTGACAGTTTCTGATAAAGTTAAATATAAACTTGTTATGTGACCTAGCAATCCCACTCTTAGGTTTTTACTCAAGAGAAATAAAAGCATTTGTCCATGCAAAGACTTTAATGTGAATATGCATAATATTTAGCCCCAAACTGGAGAAAATCCAAATGTCTATCAACAATGAATGGATAAATAAATGTTCATATGAAATACCACTCAGCAAGAAAAGAAATTTTGTTTATCATATGCATACAATATGGGTAAATTTCTAAAATATTATGTTGTATGGGTAAGACAGATAAAAAGGGCGTATACACTATAATTCAATTTATATGAAATTATAGAATAGAAAAAAATCAATAGTTACAGTGGTGGTTGCCCATAGTTGGTATGAAGTGAAGGAGATGGACTGTAAAAACAAATAAACTGTTTGAAGTGATAAAGATGCTCTGTATCTTGAGTTTTATGGTTGTTATATAGGCTTAAGAATTTATTAAAACTCCTAACTATACCCTAAATGGGTGCATTTTAGTGTATATAAATTGTACTTCCATGGAGCTGATTTTAAAAGTAAAAATTAAAACAACTAACCTGCCTCAGTAAATGAAGGCAAAATAAAGACAGTTTCAAATAAACAACACTAAGATTATGTCACCAATAGACTTGTTTGAAAAGAAATATTAAAACAACTTCTTCAGGCTTCATGAAATTAAATGACATCTGATTAAAATTTGGATGTAGAGAAAGGAATGAAGAGCATCAGAAATGCTAAATATGTGGCTAAATATAAAAGATTATACTTTTTTATTCTCTTAATTTTCTTAGAAGACAACTGATAATTTTAAACCATTGTAACATTGTATTGTAGGGTTTATAACATAAATAACTAAAATAAATGTTCAAAATAGCACAAATATGTAGCTGTAAGTGAAATTATTATAAATCATTCTTATATTTTATGTCAGTGGAACAATTTTAACTTTAAGTTCACTACAATAAATTAAAGATACATAAGGAAAATCATAGAGTAACTACCAAAAACAAGACAAAGAGGTATGGCTAAAAAGCTGCTCAATGAATAAAAAGAAATATTTGAAAAAAATACAATGAACCCAAATAAGGCAGGAAAAATACAGGAAAACTGAAAAACAAAAAAACAGAAAACAAATCCCAAAATAACAAGCCTAAACACAAACATTCCAATAATTTCATTAACTATAGGTGGACAAAACATTTCAATTAAAAAAAAACCTAAGTATATACTATTTACAAATAACAACTTATCAATACAGAGAGGTTTAAAGTAAAAATATTAAAAAAGACATATATGCAAACACTAAATCTTGAGATCTCAAAACCCTGTCTCAGGCTCTGCTTCTTAGGGAATCTGACCAAAGATAAGCCCACCTTAGTGCCTGAATGACTCGTTTATGAGTCATTCAAAATATTCTGATCTTATTGCACCTAACATTGATTTGATCATAAGCAACTTAGAGTCACACCAAGGTTACACATGTAGGATCTCCCCATATGCAAGGGGTTCCTATAAGCTTAGAACACTCTCTAAAATCATCAGTATCCTTGGATGGGCTCTTGATGTGGTTATGTGATTGGGTACTGTTATTAAATTACACATCTTTCCCCAGCCAATCTGTGTATTTAGAGAAAACTTATCTGGGGCCTGAGACTTTCTCCAATTCTAATGAATTCCCAGACTGCATTCTAATCCTTTCACCACTTGACTTTACTGTCTAACAAGGATGTTTCAAGCAGGTGGAATTGGCTTATTGCCCATTTAGGCTTTCTAGTCATAAATGAACTGGGGATTTGGGACTGCCTCTGAAAAAAATTCTCCAACAATCTGCAGACTTAACTAGATAGAATATTTCCCAGTTTTGGGTGACAAATTATCCATACACCAAACCCCCACAACGTGCAATGTACCCATGTAACAAACCTGCACATGTACATGTACCCTTTGAATCTAAAACAAAAGTTGGAAAGTTAAAAAGTGATTCTAGCTATGTTAATTATCTCCATTTAGCCATTCCACAATGAATGCGTATTTCAAAACATCAAGTTGTACACAATAAAAATATACAGAATCTTTCTCAGTTTTTCATGGAGAAACTCTTCACTGGGAAAATTGTATGTAAAATCTGGACACACGACATATTCAAGTTGTCTTTTCCTAAAAAAATTTGAATTATGCTACCCTATTTCATTTTTCCACTTAAAAATTGCAGAGCCATCCAATCTATCCAAAAGGGGGAAAAGGATAACCTTTTGTATTTATTTGCTCACAAAGTCAGCATTTCTGATGTTCTTCATTTCTTCTGGTAGATCCAAGATTTTAACTTTTGTCATCTTTTGTCTTCAGCCTGAAGAGGTTCCTTTAGCATTTCTTATTGAGCAGGTCGCTTGGTGACAAATTCTGTCAGATTTTGCTTATCTGAAAATGCCTCTATTTCACTTTCATTTGGAGAGGTAGGGGCCGGCTATGTTTTGATCAACTTTGTTGAGGCATAAGTGGGTTTTTATCTCAGTCTCTCTAGTTGATGTTTTGTAAGGGCAGAACCTATGAATTATTCTGAAGAAGTAGCATAGCACAGTGATTCACAGCCAAAAATCCAAAGCCAAATGCCTGAATCAGAATCTCAGCTCTCCTATGAATCACCTGGATGACCATGGGTAGGTGACATGACCTCTCAGTACTTCAGGTTCTCAACCTAAGCATCTTTCCCAAAATGAGAAAAATAGTAAAAGTATCAACTTCAAAGAGATATTGCAAAAAAACAAAAAAAACCCACAAAACTTGTGAGCTACTACATGTAATGGTGTGAGAAGAATGCTTGGCACATAGGAATCACTATTTAAATATTTGCTATTATTAATAGTAGTATTAATCTCTGTATCCCCAGGAACTAACATAATGTTTACGTGTTAATAAAGGCTCAGGATATGTTAAATAAGAGTTCTTCCTAGATTATGTAAAAACCCATTGAACAGAGTAGTAATAATCAGTAAGAAATTCCAAGATAATTCCTTTCAAATATTGTCCCCTATACTTTCATTTCCTGCTAAGAAAACAGTTTAACCCACTTTCAGTTATCCTAAAAGTGGCAAAACTGGACTAATTTGTCTTTGGTGTGGTCTCCTTTCTCAATCCTATTTCAGATTTTGACTTTATTGTTCTTTCCCTGTCCTCCATGAACCTTTAAAATCCATATAAGCATTAAGATGCCCTATTCTCCATGAATTTTTCTCAAGTCCCCCAGTGAAATGTTTCTCTTTTTCCCCATAGCTGTTGGGAGTTTTGTCCAATCCTCTTTTAAGCACTCACCATACTTGATTCCAGATTACAATTTTTCAGATATGGGCCATCTACTTACCCATCTTATCATAGTCAGGAAAGATTAAAAGAATCCAAGACTGGCCGGGCGCGGTGGCTCATGCCTGTAATCCCAGCACTTTGGGAGGCCGGGATGAGGTCAGGAGTTCAAGACCAGCCTGGCCAAGATGGTGAAACCCCGTCTCTACTAAAAATACAAAAATTAGCTGGGCGTGGTGGCAGGTGCCTGTAATTCCAGGTACTGGGGAGGCTGAGGCAGGAGAATCGCTTGAACTTGGAGGGTGGAGGCTGCAGTGAGCCAAGATCGTGCCACTGCACTTCAGCCTGGGTGACAGAGTGAGACTCTGTCTCAAATAATAATAATAATAAT